>NW_013171804.1:0-163882 GCF_000001405.40 Homo sapiens | reverse complement strand
GAATTCAATTACAGGAGTCAGAAATTCTGAATTCTTTCCTGTCCTCTGCTACTGTATAGCTTCAGATAAATGTAGCAGTTCCTTTTTATATCAAGTGATGTACAGAAGTTACAAACATCTCTAGTTAAGCTTAAACATGCAATGAACACTATTAGAAAATATTAAAATACAACAGGCAATTTAAAGACTACCAGGTGAACATAAGTCACTGCTAACTTTGGCAAAATTTCTAAGAATTGATTTCATCGCCAAAGGAGTAAATTAATTTTGAAGTTGCTGATGGCAACCACTTACCCGTCATTGCATTAGGACTAAGTTCAAAGAGTGATGAAGAAAATATATTTGTAAGAATAAAACTCCCAAGCTCATTCTAAAACCTCAGCTAGGGAGACTATAACTCACTGCTCATTGACCCACCTCTCCTGTCCCTTATGCCAGTCATCCTGGTGGTCCTGTTACTGGGCCTCTCAGGAGGGAGGCATCAGAGTTCTCTGGAGATGGCGCCAGCACACCTGCTTGCTGCTCTTCTAGGGCTTCTATGGGATTTGCCTCTGCGGAGCTTAAATGATAATGAGCCTGCATTCAAAGAGCACCTGTCCACAACCCACACTTGTTTTGCAGAACTGCAGATGGTCCCTACAAGCACAAGGAACAGACTGGCACATTGAATTACTCAGTTTTATCAGCACCCAGTTTTAATTTCCTAATGGAGCTCTACTAAGATAATCGCTATAAGGATGAATATGTCTATGTAGCAGTCAAACCACATGCCTTGCAGGCATTATTATTGCTCTCTGGTAGAAAGGGGACATGAGAAAGCCAAAACTATTAATCTATTAATGATAAACCTCCACGATTCCCATGGCCCACCTTCATGCCCCAAGCATATATTCCAGAATAAATAGTTGACTTTCCCAGAAACTTTGTTAATAACTATTATATAGAGATATATAATATATGAATATGTTTATATTAATATGCATGAGATAATATATAAATATATGTTTACATTAGGTATATACCAGATAATATATTTATAATATATAAATCTATATTTATATCAGATTTTTTAATGGGTGTTGGTGTGAAAGGGATTCTTCATTCTTCATGATGTGCACTGTTCCCGGAGATTTGGTCTCAATTATGTAAAGAGGAAACATGGGTGGCTAAGGAGAACAGTATAATGTATTGAATTTATCCTTTTCTGGAACTACATTTTAGTGTAGTGGAAAAATAATAAACTACTTTGTGGCTTATTACTTCCAGTGCTAATAAGGTTGTCTATAAAACAGAAGCTACCATTCTAAAGTGGTCAAGGTAGGATAACCACTATAACAAACTACCCAACAATTTCACTGCATTAAAACAAGAAACCTTTCTTAATTACCTGTGTTATGGTCCAGTGCAAGTATCCAGGTGCCGTGTTCCATGAAATGACTCAGGAACCTAGGGTCTGTAGTGCCTCAGGGGAATAGTCTTCCCCTGAGGGGAGAGGAAGACGGGGGGAGGAGAGAGAAGGGGGAGGGAGGGAAGCAAGCAGATGGAGAGAGACAGAGAGAGAGAGAGAAGAGGAGGGGAGGGGAGGATGGGAGAGAAGAGAGGAGAGAAAAAGAAGAAGAAGAGGAGAAGGAAGAAGAGAAGGGGGAGCAGAGAGACAGAGACAGAGAAAAAAATATAAGTGGAATATTTACAGGATTTAAACACCAAGCTTGAATTCCATATAATTTTGTTTATATGTCTTTGGCACTCAATCATATGACCGAATCTAATTTCTAACCACAGGGGAAATTGAGAAAGGTAGTCCAGCTTCATTCCCAGGAAGAAAAAGAAATGGGAGTTGTTAAAGATGTAGCACTGTTTGGCCGGGTACGGTGGCTCACGCCTGTAATCCCAGCACTTTGGGAGGCTGAGGCGGGCAGATCACGAGGTCAGGAGATCGAGACCATCCTGGCTAATACGGTGAAACCCCGTCTCTACTAAAAACACAAAAAATTAGCCGGGCGTGGTGGCGGGCACCTGTAGTCCCAGCTACTTAGGAGGCTGAGGCAGGAGAATGGCGTGAACCCGGGAGGCGAAGCCTGCAGTGAGCCGAGATCGCGCCTCTGCACTCCAGCCTGGGCGACAGAGCGAGACTCCGTCTCAAAAAAATAAAAAAAGATGTAGCACTGTTTCTGTCACAGTGGCTTTCCAATCCCCAGCGTCTTGAAAGAGTCCAGAGTCCCGGTTGTCATCTGAATGTTGCTATTGCTTGGACTGCTGAGCTTTTGAATCTTGGAGACCCTCAGATATTTTTCAAAGGTTATATCTGTCCTTCTTTAGTATTTCTCTCTATTTGATTTGGTGTTACACAAGAAGACAAGTATAAAAAAAATAGTGGGGATTTAAATATGTGGGTATGTACACATATACCAAGGGTTAGCCAATACAGGAGAAAATAAGGTGGGGTGTATGTAATCTATCAAGATAAAACACTGCATTTAGTCTTGCTGGAAAACAGCCAAACAGGGCTTTTTCTTTTTTTTCTTTTTCTTTTTCTTTTTTTTTTTCCATGCATGGATTTACATAGTGACCCAACTCCTATGAAGGGACTTTTTCTTTAGTTCCTAATAGTAACTTCATTCCAGAAATGTTAGACTCTTCTTCAGTCTTACAAACTGCTCATTGACTTTGGTTTCCTGACTATAATAAATCTTTTTTCAAACAAAATAATCCATTCTCTTCATCAAGAACAGCGGGAGGTATATATACAATTATACTAGATATTCCCACCATTTCCGTAATGAATGCAAATCATGGACAACCAGGGTACTAGGACTCTTCAAATTTATCCTTTTTATATTTTTACACTAATTAGTCTGAAATATTAAATATGCATCTCCCTAAGGGTAGAATAGTTCAATCACAACCTCATAGAAAGCCACTGTTGCCGGTACAGTGGTTCTCTCAGCCGTGGTTGCACTTTCTGCAGTTTCAATTACCTGTGGTCAACCATGGTCTGAAAATACTAAATGGAAAATTACGATAGAAATAGACAATGCATAAGTTTTAATTTGCACCATTCTGAGAAGCATGATGAAAATCTTGTGCAGTCCCACTCCTTCCCACCCAGGACATGAATCCACCCTTTGTCCGGCCTATTTATAATTTCTAAGCTACCCATTCCTGAGTCACTTAGTAGCCACCCTCGACTGTCGCGGTATCACAGAGCATGTGTTCAAGTAATGCTTCTTTTACTTAATTGTTCTATTTTGTTATGAGTTATTGTTGCTAATCTCATACTGTGCCTAACTTATAAATTAAACTCTATCATAGGGATGTAAGTACAGTTAAGTCTTCAGTTAATGTCATACATAGGTTATTGAAAACTGGGACTATAACTGAAACAATTTATAAGAAAATCAATTTTTTTCCTCATCAACATTATAAAGAAACAATTTTGAACTAAACGATGTTATTTGAGGACCTGCTGTATGTTGTTCCACTTTAAGTCACATTTCCAAGAACCTGTGGATGTCATTGAGGACTTACTATTACAGAAAAAAACATAGTAAATATAGGGTTCAGAATTGTCTGCAGTTCCAGGTATTCACTAGGAGTCTCAGAATGTATCCCCCACGGATAAGGTGGGGGCGGGGGGGAGGGGGGCTCCTGCATAGCTAGTAAGAATAGATGATACCCAAATTTGGATTTGAGAGTCTATCCTGGCTCTGCTATTTAGTGTCTATATGTTTTTAAGCACATAAATAAGTAAATATAATACCTTAATGAAGATTACTGTAACTATTATTGTTATTATGCTATTACTTAGTGTCTAGGGTAGTTATAATAACCAAATATAACATTAATTGTGTAAAAACTGTAATTTTAGCCTAGAATGGTAGCATTATATTAAACATAAAAGGGCCTAATTTGTTCATTTTTTAAATAAATAGATATCAAAAAAATGCTTATTAATGCCAAACATTATTCTAGATAAACAACTCTGTGTTAAAATACAGAACTGTTTAGTTCTGAATTAAAATGTGTAGCATAAATTAAATTACTGCTCATAACGTTCAATTTGTAAAATCAAGTTAAAGAATGTACCTTAAAACTGTGGTTATTCCCTCCCCACACAAACACAGATGTCATCTTTCCTTGGCACAATGAACACACTATACTTTTAAAAAGTTAAGGCATTTATTAAAAGTGAAAGAAATGGGTAAATGGTCACAAGTCACCTTTAAAATAATTACAGAAGCATATTTTGTGATATTTCTTAATTTCTGGTAGAGCTATTCTAAAAGTAAGAACTTCCTCTGATTCAAGATATGTTTGACTTTTAAGTGCAAATAGTACTCAATAATGATAATAATAATTGTACATAACAGTCATTGAGAACTTCTTTGTGTCAGGTACATAAGCTATTTCATGTCATATAAATAATTATACTTAACTCTCACCACATCTCAATATTATATCCCTATTTAGGAGATGATAAAGCTGATGCAGATACTGTGTAATATAATTGATTTTGCTATTTCTTTTTATAGTCAGATAAAAGAGTCACATTTTGGGAAGTTTTTAGGTACAGTGTTTCCAGAAGAAAAAAAAAAGATTTCTTTGCCTTTGATTTAACAGGTATTATTCATCTGCTCTGGTCTATCATAGGAGAAATGTCTTGAGCTTTAGCATCAGACAGATCTATGTAGTATCTCAGCTCTATCCCTTAACATCTTTATCATTTTCAACAAGTAACTAAATATCTCTGACCTGTTTTCTCTGCTACAAAATGAGGTAATAATACCTGATGCATGAATTCTTTTGGGGAAAGTCAAAATATTATATAATGAAAACAATGGTCGGGAAATGGAAGATGATATTATTTAGACCTGAATTGGGTCTGGAAATAAAATAAGTAAAGAACAACTTTATTCCCTGCTCTTTGTGGCTTGTGCAACCTCATGAGACAAATGGATGCACCAGGAATCCAGCTGTAATATACAACTGTCAGAGAAACACTTTTAAGCAAAGTACAATGTCCTGTGAGAGTACAGTAATGATTAATTTTGATTTGATTAACATTTTTGCTTAATAAATTTGTTATAGTAAATAAACTAATTTGTTTAGAAAACAGCACCAGTCCTTGTTCAACACATTTCATAAAGAAGTTCATCCATGGTTTCAATATGCACCCTTGATTATTCTATGGAGAGTTAAATAATAATTTTATAACTTTGGAGATATTAAGAGGGGGGTTATATATCTCTTCATTCAGTCTCCTATATATTCAGACAGAAAAACTGAGGACAAAATAAAGCTTCTTGACAAAGTTTGCCAAGCAAGTTATTGGTAACTTTACAACTTCTCAAACCCAGTTTGATAGCATCTACTCAATTAAGGTTTTCAAGACAGACCAAGAGAATGATACATTAAGGCAAAATTGTCACACCTGGTTTAAAACAAAATAGCCCAAGGAAGGTTATACAGAAACCTTGAGGCTTAAATATAAATTATTGAAACAATAAAAATAAAATTTCATGTATTAAAGCTGAAATGCAGCTATTATAACAAGAATCAATAATTCCTCTTCAATAGCAATTTGCCTTACTTGATTCTGCATTCCAGAAACAGTGAAAACATTTTTCTGTGATTCCATTAGCAATAAATTACATCTTGAGCAAGTGAAATCATGTAAAGTGGGGCTTTTGTGATTGTTGAAAAAGCTAATGCTTTATAGTTAAAGACCAAATAATAAACAAGAAGAAAACATCACCTTTCTCTCACTGCACTGCCAGTGGAGATCTAGTTTATCCCTGAGCAAGCCAGGCACAGAGTAAATCCCCTACCAGTTGAAGGCAATCCCAAATAGGCATTTCACCCATTGGAAATACACAACTCCAATACTGATAGGGTTTATTTTACTTCCAAAATTCTTCCATAGTTCCATTTTCTTTTTACATTTATGTTAAACTTGTCATATAGACAAAGAACATAATGATTGATGTTTTGATCCTTTTTTCAAGAAATTTATCTACAGGGGCAAATACATACAGATAAACTGCTGCCCTCTTTGAAAATCTTAAACTACTACATGGAAACACTGCAGTTGAAAAATTTTTAACCATTGGACTATTTGTTTTACTAAAAGAGAATTAATTTTTGTAAAATTAAGTTACTCTTGATTTCACATATTATCATTTCACTTGCTAGTCTTTCTCTTTTTAACCTTTTTTCTAGAATCTAAGTAGTGATTATATTTGAGGTGTTCCATTAATTGCGTTTTTTACCACTTTTATCTACATTTATGAAAATGAGTTCAGATGATGATTTGAAAGTGTTTGTATTTTGTTTAATGAGAATCTACAGCTTTTAAAAATTAACATATATAAGTAAATAATAAAGAGAAAAATGTTTTATAGAATGCTACCAACACCTTATAATAAAGTAATTAAGCCATGTTAATCTAAAAACAACCATGACCAAAAGATGTTAATTAGAGACTTAAAAATCAAGTTGGAATGAAAATACTTGAGCTTCTAGTGCTTGCCATTTTTTTCTCCTTAATGTGAACATAAACTCCTTACCACAGTGAATTACTCAGTATTCAACATTTGATGAAGTTGTAAAAGCTGAGAATTCACCTTTCTATACTATGACGGTATGTTATGAGGTTGAGATATTTCATTAGCAAAAGAAATATGTTGTTCTCTCAAATTACTATGTATGTGTGTGTGCATGTGTGTATGTGCATGAACACATGTGCATGTATATAATTTATAAGATGATTTCACATGAAAAAATAACGTTTTATTGTCATCATTAATATTTAAATGGTTGTCATAAACTAATGAGCTTATTCCAAAATGCCTGCTCAACTTTTGAAGAACAAGAGGGATGACAGAAAACTGTGGGGTTTTTTTCAAGCTGAATATTTCTAGTTGTGACCAAATGTAGCTGCTATTCTATCTTTAAACTATTAAAAAGTATGTAACAAAATAAATTGTTACAATATAACATTCATAGCCAAAGTTCTAACATAGGATATATGCTCACAATATTTTGACCCAAATAATCCTGCATAAAGTGAGTTCAGTATTGGATTAATGAATTACTAAGCATTTCCTTAGTAATTAGCTTCAAATCCAATATTTTCCCTCTTTAGTGTCTCCTATCGCACTTAGCCACCTTCTGGGAATGTAACAGAAAGCATTGAAAGCCATTTTCTTTCTCTCCAGCACTAACTCTTGCAATGAGAATTAGTCAACAGCAATGTGAAGAAGTCCTGGTGGCAGCCATCACAGGGAAAATGATCTCATCATCTTCAATCCTTTAAACTCTGTGTATACACACATCGATTTGGGCTGTTTTATTCAAAAAATTCAATCCAGAACTAGGGAGGTTAAATGTTTCTCTGAACCAAAAGATTACATAGGAAGTGATAAATCAAGAGATATTGAATGTATTTTTCTACTATGTACAAAGTATCATACTAGGTGCCAGAGGAATTGTTTGAAGTCTAAAATCTTCTGAGTTGAAAGCATACAATCAGAGTGGAAAGACATGAGTCCTCTCTCAGTTCTGCAAATTGAGGCAAAATATGATACGTCTTTAAACTTAGGTAAAGTTATAATTCCAGACACAACTCACTACCCTTTACCTCAAGGAATTTATGATCTCATTAACATAGACATGTGATCTCAAATTAATGAAATTCAAGGTAAAGCATCATAAAGCGCATATGAGTCCATGACTGTGTCATTGCACAGAAAGGGCCTATAATCATTGATTATATTGTGGAAACGTTCCTTACCTCTGTCTGCTAAGATTACATCCTGTGACATAACTACTGATTTTTATGTACCATTTCTAAAATTATTGAACACCTTCAATGTACCCGGCAGTGTTTTAAGGGCTGGGAATATAGAGTGAAAACACACACACACACACACGCACTCCAAATACCAGATTTCAAGGATGATACAGTCTCTTGGTAGGAATCATGCAATAAAGAAATAAGAAAGTAAAACACACAGCAAGTCAGATGATGAAAAGTGCTATGAAGACAAAATAGCCAGAGGAAGCAGCCATGAGTGTCCTGGGAGGAGAAAGGGAGAGTCTCCACTGGGCCTTGTGGGCATTTCAAATACCTAAATTTTTACTCTCGATAATTTGGAAAATCACTGAATTTTGTGTGGAAAGAGATGTGGTACCAATTTAAAACTATCAATTTGGCTAGGTGAGAATCAGAGAGACCTGTTTGGAGGCTACTGCTGTATTCCAGTTTAGCAAGCATAGACCAAGTGGAGGTGTGAGAAGGTAAAGCCAAGAGAATTGCTGATAGATTAACAGATGGGAATAGAGGAAAAGAGAGTCAAGAATGATTCTACGGGCGCGGTGGCTCACGCCTGTAATCCCAGCACTTTGGGAGGCCGAGGCGGGTGGATCATGAGGTCAGGAGATCGAGACCATCCTGGCTAACAAGGTGAAACCTCGTCTCTACTAAAAAATACAAAAAATTAGCCGGGCGTGGTGGCGGGCACCTGTAGTCCCAGCTACTCGGGAGGCTGAGGCAGGAGAATGGCGTGAACCCGGGAAGCGGAGCTTGCAGTGAGCCGAGATTGCGCCACTGCAGTCCGCAGTCCAGCCTGGGCGACAGAGCGAGACTCCGTCTCAAAAAAAAAAAAAAAAAAAAAAAAAGAATGATTCTATATGAACTATTGGAAACTGCAGGTGCCAAAGACTGCAGGAGTAGCAGATTTGGGGATGGAGGTAAGGTGTGGAATTTCACAAATGTTAAGTCTGAGAGATCTATTAGAGTATGGAAGTCTTCTTGCTCAAGCTGTATAGAGTCTTACCCAGTTCCCTTTCAGTGCTGTTGTGGTCTGGGTAAATTGGGACTGTGTTGATGCCCTTACGAGGAAGTGGGAGCCTTTCTCATTCTACATGTGCACAGGCAGCTCAGCCCCTGTTCCCTAAAGCCCTGTGCTGTTTCTCCTGATAAAAAACAATTGAAAAGTCTGTGTGCAGCATCCTTACAGACTCAGTGGCCATACATGACTGCGATTGTTCAGTAACCGAACAATGCTTCTTTCATATTCCAGTGTGATCCAATAGTGATTTTGACACAGTACTCACATCTAAAATCCCTATGTATCCATGTCTTCAAAAGTGAGTTTTTTTATAACAACTCATTTAAAAAGCTTCCCTTGCCATGCACACATTACTTTGTTTATGAAATATTTCTAGAAATTCCCTTTTGCTTTTCTTTCAGTGTATACACTCTAATTCTTAATTTCTTAAAATGAATTGACCATCTTATATTAAATGGATACTGAATCCATATTATTTATTTGAAGATAATGTTGATTAATATTTAGAGAGCTCCAAGTTATGCAAAATAAATGTCCCCGGGGAGCAGGTTATTAAAATAAATTTTAGGAAACTTGCCAAGCCTGGAACATCGTAAGAATAACCTAGGAAGGAGTCTTTAAATATTCAGACAACATCACCATCTATCTGCCAGCCAACACCTGCCCTACCTCTGTGTAATTCTCTTCCAATGGTTTTAGGATAGGCCCTGGAATCTGTACTTAACATGCATTCATTTGTTCTGATTAGCCAAATACAGAAACCACTAGAAAAGGAATTCCTTTACATCTGTAAAAATAACCCTGATTGCATGATATGAAATAGATGAGAAATAATATTATTAAAATATCTTCTATTGAAATCACTACCCTTAGAGTAACTTAAAAAATGAAAAAAGAAAAACTAATGTCTTTTGTTTCCTGCATTGGACTTTATCTGATATGCAAATGAATATAACTTAATATTATATATGCCATCCCTATTCTCAGCATCAACACATTCTCCTTCTTTTATATAGCACTTAATCATATATTACTCTTTGATTTTAAAAACAAAGTGAGTATCTAGCCCTATGTATTTTGCACACAAGTATTAGTGTTGTGTAGTCCATTCATTCCCTATAGCATGGGAAGAAGATTTGGAATCTGCAACATTGCCTACAGTTCATTTAATTATGATTGCATATTTGGTTAGGGACAAAGTAAATTGAATGAAGCATTAAAATCAAACATCCTTTTAATTAAATTAGAAAGAGACTGACTTCTTCTTATTGTTTATTTTTATTAATAGAATGAGAATACTATGTCTCCAAAGAAGGTGTCATAATTCCTTTGAAATAAAGATACTTTTTTCCAGCTCCATTGTCTAAAAGCTTGAATTTGACCCATGTTTCATCTAGTTTAATATTTAATAATTTCCTCTGCAAGAAGACTTTCAATGCATAAAATGTTGTATAAATTATTATTGGTACTGATGTACTTTATGTAGTAATTTGCACATTTGCAGATTAGGTACAGATGGACTTTACCCAAATCATGCAAGATTTAGGAAAATTCACAACCTTCAAAACTAGTGGCCAGGCCTGGCATGGTGGCTCACGCCTGTAATCCCAGCAATTTGGGAGGCCGAAGCGGGCGGATCACAAGGTCAGGAGATCGAGACTATCCTGGCTAACACGGTGAAACCCCCTCTCTACCAAAAAAATACAAAAAATTAGCCAGGTATGGTGGCGGGCGCCTGTAGCCCCAGCTACTCGGGAGGCTGAGGCAGGAGAACGGCGTGAACCCGGGAGGCGGAGCTTACAGTGAGCCTAGATCGTGCCACTGCACTCCAGCCTGGGCAACAGAGACAGACTCCGTCTCAAAACAAACAAACAAACAAACAAACAAAAAACTAGTGGCCCTTACTTAGGCTCAGTAGACTAAACAATTCCCCCTCAAATGAAAGAAATAGTACATCTGTCTTTAAAATTCATTACAACAAAGCATGAAAAGCCTTATTTCACTGATACCTCTGCCAAATTTTAAAAATTTTAATGTTGTTTTAAGAAACATATTTTACTACATGAACCACTACGTACATTCATCTCCATATTATCGAACTCTCATAATTAAGTCACCAATCTCTTATGGTAAATATTTGAATTGGCTATTCATATATGATATTTACAATTGAGATTTTTTATACAGAGAAACTCTTTGGGCATATACTGATATTTCAATTAATTAAGAATAGCATTACATGCTTTTCCATACTTAAGCAAAGTCCAAGTAACTATTACTATGTGTACTTCTCTGTAAAATGACAATTTTATTTATGGAGGGAAATTCTTTGACAAATAGAATATATTATGGCAAATAGAATATATATAGCATGGTGTGGAGTTTTTACAATGGTAATAGCGAACTGCTACAATCTGTTCCATGGGATATTATTATTTGAACTCCGCTATTTATAAACAATATTTCTGACATATCTGTTAGCTGATTTATTCATACAAATTTGTATAGGCTGTGAAAAGTCCATTGTTTCTAGTCATAGGTTGTCTTATTGCTACTGGACATGCATTCTTCAAAATGATATTTTTGTTCCTCCACAAATACTAAAAGTTTTCATACTAAAATCTGAAAGAAAACAGTTAAATTGAAATCAGACTTAATTTGCATCAACGTGTAAGTAGAGCAGAGACAATGCAAAGGAAAGAAGGCATCAAAAGCACCAGTATTTTTGGAGTTTGCCCTAAGTATCATTTTTTATTCTCTCAACTTTTTACTCCTAACTTCAACTTTTCTATTTCCCTTTTCCTTCCCAACTATTTTTTCAGACTTTTCCATCCTACAAAAGCACCGGATTTGTTTTTTTATTCTTTTAAAAAAATCTTGTATTAGAAAAGAAAAATGACAAAATTAAAATTTGTACCAGGAAATGAAGATAGAATTAGTTATTTTACTAAAGGGTTCGTCATAGGATCCATTAAAAACAACGGCTTTTAAATGGACATTTGATTCGTAAGTAATTTTGGAATCTGTTCCTGATATACGATGCTAACCATCCTAAAAAACTGGTACCCCTGAGGCCAGCTAGGTGAAATGACTACCCCAAAATAGCTCAGCAACCTAATAAATACACTCAATCAAAGATTTCCATTCAATCGTTATCCATACGCAACACCCAGGTAATCACAATTCAGGAAGGTCAGTAGGAACCAAATAATATTACATACATATGTAGAGATTCAGTCTTTAAAATGATTCCCCTCACTTTGAGGTAAGTCTCAATAAGAGAACAATAAATAGATGAAAGAGAATATATAAACACTTTTTATGCAGGATTCCTACTTTCATTCCTAGATATTGATTGTTTTCTGGAATTTACTGTAACACTTTGTCCCCACAAAATATATATGACCTCTGTTTTACACAAGTTGTAGACTATTAAATTAGTAACACAGTGAAACAGAAAGATGGGTGTCTAAAATTGTTAAGAAGGATTCTGTTTACGTGACTTGGAATTCCAATGAAACTTAACTGGAGAAACTCTTTAATTTTACTTAAAATTTTGATGTTTTATTATAAATAGATGAAAAGTAAATGCCCAAATTTTCATAGTAATCATTTATTTTCATCATCCATCATTAAATTAGTTTCCCTATATTTTGGGTAAATATTTCAAGATCTGGACTTACTCCTGTCAAACCACTCATTATTCTGAAATTACCTGTCTTGTTTGTACATTGCCCAAGCCCCCCTGAAAATACCTTCAGTGCAGGAATAGCTTTTTCAGAAATCTATCCCTAGTACTTAACATAAGATAGACAAGCATATCTTAATAATTAAAATGATAGCAATGTATAACATTAAGAGCCTATTATATGTCAGGCACTCTTAAGTGCTTAATATATCTTAACTCATACCCTCAGATATTGTTGTTACACCTATTTTACAAATAATCTCAAGCAGAGAGAAATTACATAACTTGCCCAGAATAAAAAAACTGGTAAGTGGAAAAACTGAACTTCTGGGGAGTCTGTACTCCTCAATACTATGCTGTCATGCCTTGAGTATAAATAAATCCATGGTAAATATTTTCTGGTTGGACAAATAACTACAATGTCAATATGTATGTGGGATGTAGTCAAACAGTATATTCCAGTTAAATAATAAAGGGAAAAAAATCTGGCTAGTGACTAACTCAAACAATTGATTCAGAGACAAGGTATTTGTTAGATGTAAGGTATCTTATAGTTTTGTTGGAGTGGCACAGCTACCACTTAAGGGGTAGCATATTACCTATAGTGATATAAAATTTGTAAATCTGGTCATTAATTGAACGATGTATCAGCTGTCAGAAGCTAAAAGGACCAAGACTTCCTATGGTTCTATTAGGAAAGTAAGGGTGGAAGATAATAACTAAATAAATACGTAAATAAGAAAGGAGGAAGGGAAATCAGCTGAGTTACACGAATCGAATATTTAATTCTCTTATTTATTTATTTATTTATTGAGACGGAGTCTCTGTTGCCCAGGCTGGAGTGCAGTGGCACAATCTTGGCTCACTGCAACCTCTGCCTCCTGGGTTCCAGTGATTCTCATGCCTCAGCCTCCCAAGTAGCTGGGATTACAGCCGCCCGCTACCATGCCTGGCTAATTTTGGTATTTTTAGTAGAGATGGGTTTTTGCCCTGTTGGCCAGGTGGGTCTCAAACTCCTGACCTCAGGTGATCAACCCGCCTCGGCCTCCCAAAGTGCTGGGATTACAGGCGTGAGCCACTGCGCCCGGCCTAATTCGTTATTAGATAAAGCCTTGTGTTAGGACTGCTTGTAAGAGCAGTACTCTCACTAAATGTGGTTGATGTGGACATCTGTGGAAGAATGAAATACAGCTTTATATTTCCCAAATAGAATCTTCTATAGTTTGCTTGCTAAGTATTCATTTATTATGACTTTCATAAGTCCATTTGGAATGAGAAAAATGATGTTACATTTAACATTTGTTTAGACTTAAGATTCATAATTTTAAAATTATGCTCAGACCACAGTGAAAAATACTGCTATTCTTTGTATACTACGCTAACTTCTCTGCTCTGCTGTGGGCAGCGTTAGCCACAGGAACACAGCTGCAACTACAATTTATTTAGTCTTTTACACGAAACCTAAACTCCACTTTTATCTAATCATACTGAGTTCTCCAAAATATTTGATAGGCATGAATGTCATCACAAGTATTGTATACATGAACACTCAAAAAGTCGTATGATATTCAGAAAGCTGATATATTTTTAAAGCAACTACATGTATAGACTATTATACTTACAGCCCCCAAATCTGTTTGTGCTAGCTAACTTCCTGGTCATGTTAGCCTTGTATCATTTAGCCACAAAATAAGTGAGATAATGGGCCATGATGTTATTATGCATACGTGTATAATTGAATATATGTTTTGTATAGTATGCAATAGAATGTAGGTTTTGACATATACTCCTGAATTATCATCAGTCATCTGTTTACTAATACTTGGACAGTATGTGCATGTATATGTGTTTGTATATGTGTGTTTATGTTTCTGTGCGCAAATGTATGAGTTCGGAAGGTTAAAGGAGAGCTAATGACCTAAATATTTTGAAATATAGATATACATACCTCATATTTAGAAAGACCTATTAACAATGGTAAATATTATGAGTTTTATTTTTTAAATTAAATAGCCAAAGCATCATGGTCACACACATGCTTTAAGCTGATGATCCAGCATCTATGTTGTTCATGTAGTAAAACCATCTGGCCTCAACTAAATGCATATAAAAATACTTGTCATGCCCACATCTTTTTTAAAAAAGTACAGTATTGGTAAGTTTATGAATTTATTTTAGAGCCTAAATAAAATTGGCAGCCAATTTGGAAGGTATCAAGGTTAATAGAGGCAAAAGAAGTAGGAGGACAGAGAGCTTGGGGTACCTTGTAGACCAGATATTCTAGTAGTGGCAAATTCTGGCAAAGTTAGAAGATATACGAAATTCAAACAGGGTGCTTCCTTTTCTTCCTTTTGCTAAATTCCTGTCTGTAGGCATCACCTCTTTTTTTCCTTCATATTTTATTTTTTCTGAACTTATTTTCTTTACTCTTTCCCGAGGTAATCTCTTCCAGACATTCGATGAAAGACTGATACATGTATATATAAATTTACACCTCCCGTCTTGACCACTACCTTTGGCTCAAATATGAAAGCTCATTCCCTTATTTAGCATATATCTGAATGTGGTATAGACATCTAACTTTATCATGTTAAAAACAGAACTTTGGACTAGTCTTTACTAAAGTGGAATAGACATCCATTATCATTGATTGCTCAAGTCAAACCTTTCAGTTTTGTTTACCAAACATTTCTCCCTTGCCTAAGGACCCCTTCTGTCTAAATTATCTGCAAGTCTTGTCAGTTATAGCTTCCCAGTATATTTTATATCAATTCATTTCTCTTCATACTTACACTGTCCACCTAGTTCATACTACCATTATCTCTCACTGTTTGTTATGAGGTTAACTAACTACAGCAGTTCTCAAATCATGTCATTTTGTTCAACGTTGTTTCATTATAACATTGATGAGAAAAGCAATCAATTCCCAGCTGGGTCACTGTCTATGTGGAGTTTGCACATTTTCCCCATGTTGGTGTGGATTTTTTCCAGGTATTCTCGTTTTCCCATACATCCCAAAGAAGTGCACATGAGGTGAGTCAGCATGTGTACATGGTCCCAGCCTGAGTGTGTGTGTGGGTACCTGTGTGTGTATGTGTGTGTGAGTGTGCTTTGCAATGGGATGGCAACCTGTTCTGGGTTTGTTCCTTGTGCATGTGTACATGGTCCCAGCCTGAGTGTGTGTGTGTGTACCTGTGTGTGTATGTGTGTGTGTGAATGTGCTCTGCGATGGGATGGCATCCTGTTCTGGGTTTGTTCCTTGTGCTCTTAGATGCTAGGATGGGCTCCAGCCACCTGCATTCCTAAACTGGAATAAATGGGTTAAAGAGTGAATGCATGAATGAACGAATACAAATTATTGTCAAATAAAAATGTGTAGGATTACAATAATCTTACAAATGCACAACAACAAATGAAGCAGTACAAAAGCATTCAGTGATTGTCTTTGAGCTGTGAGACAATAGCAAGAACTTCTTAAAATTTTCACTTTACCATCAATTATTTCCTGATTTACCTTACTACCACTACAACTACCATCACTCAGTGATTCACCAAAAATTGAGTGACTATCTTGTTTTCATTAATCTTTCTTAAATGTATATATAACTCACATTAATTTCACTGTTTAATATTTGAAATGTTTTGAATCTTTATTTAGAAGTTTTTCTAACTTTTTGTGACAATAAGTATGCCATAGAAATTTTAATCTTGTTTATATCAGTTAACCTATGGTAAAATCAGTTTCATTGTATGTCGTTTCACTTAAAGTCACAATTTCTAAAAAGCTATCCTTGATATAGGTGAGGACTTACTGTATTCAGCTTATATTCAAATATTATGGCCTATTGGACAGTGTTCCTTCTGACCGGTTGGCAACTTTTCTGATTGATAAATGCCAAAGGCTATAGGAATTGCTAAATGTTTTGAATCCTGCCCCTAATTCCTCTGTCGTTAGCTTCAGTGTATTTTCTGCATCACTGACCAAGACATTATCGATCTAAAATAAATTGTGGCTTATATCCCCCTCCTGCTTAAAATCCTACAAAGAGTTTCCATTGCTCCTAAAATAAAAGCCTAACTCCTAGCTTTCCTTTAAAAGCTCTGTATAATCTGGCACCACCAACAGGGTAAATCTCATCTCTTACTATTCTTCCCTGGTTGGCAATGCTGTAGGCATGATACCCTCCATTCTGTACCTGGAGCACCCTAAGCTCTTACTCATCTTAACACAACTGTCCCTTCTGCCTGGACCATTCACCCCTTGCTGTTCACTTGGCTGGCTCCATTTCTTTCATGTTTCAGCTCAAAGGTCACCTCCTCAGTAAAGTCATCACAGCCTAAAACAACTTTACCCCATTGAGTCTTTATTTGATGATACTCTTTATTTGTTGTTTGTGTGTTGTATGTCCCCTCTCTTGGAGTATATATAGTTCTATGAGGGCATGGATTTTTTATTTCTGCCACACATAATTGTACCTAGTGCTTGAAACATAGTACATACTCAGTAAATATTAGCTGAATTGTTTAGATCAGTGATTCTCACCTGGGAGGCTATGTTTTCTAATGAAATTATTCAAGAAGTATTTCTTGAGCACCTATTTTGTGCCAGATATCTTGCTACCTGTTGTGAAACTAATATAAAAGGTAAAGTCCTTGCCCTGAAGGCTCATAGTCTGAAGTGGGAGATACTGCTTTTCTCAGACAATTGCAGCACTGTGAGGGAAATGCTAACCGAGAGGTAAGCACAGGTACTGTGGGAAGAAAGAAAGTCAAACTGCAACTGAATGGTAATGGAGTGAGAGAGCAAATTAGAGAAAGCCTTCACACAAGGTAATTCTCACAGTATGTCTTGACACCAAGTTGAAATGGCTTTAATGGTAGAAATATCAGCCCTTCTCTGGCAGCGAGGTGCTCCCATGACAGGAAGTTTGGCTAGGTAATATAAAGTCAAGCAGGGATTTGTTAGACTCTCTGACCATACTGCTTAGGAGTGGCCCACTCTGCTAAGTAAGGAGCCAGTTCTGCTAAGGATAGCTGCTCTACTGTTGAGAAATCCAGGCTCAGATAAATTTATATTGTCATGGGTTTTTTTCTTTTTACATTTGTCTTTTTCTGTTAGACTGAGAAGCTTAAGGGAGCATACAGATGATACTAGAAAATGGATAGACAGTGGATGAAGGGAGGGATGGCAGGAAGACAGAAAAGGAAGGTAGGGAGAGGAACCAGTTGCTCAATACAGCAGTCTCTTGTTATAACGAGTTAACAAAATAGTGACTGGAATTTTCATTGTTTGGATTATTTCCTGCTGTCAAGTATGTCCAGTGGTTGGCAACTTTTGCAACAATTTTAACATCTGTGTAATATAGGGAAAATTGCCCAGATTTGTGACTTCTTTGTGGTTTTCCTCCTGTAACATTTTTGGTACAAACATAAAGCCTTATAAACTGGCAAACAATGCAACAAGGCTGAATGGAAACTGGCTGACTTCAACTTTATTATTTGAGGTCAAAAAGAAATGAGGCTTGAAATAGCAGCCACCAGGTCTGAACTCACCGGGAATCAAATGAAGCAGATTTGGTATGAGCTGAACAGTTCGGTTTTGTTAGTTCTTTGTATTTTTTTAAAGGCAATTTTAGAGCTGAGAGTCTATAATTGCTTGATTGTTTTTAGTCTTATAATTGTCTTGAAAGCAATTATGGCCATTTTGTCATTTCTTCTCTGGTCTAATTTCAGTCTGTCTTTGACCAACCATATTAGAAATGCATCAGTAAATATATTGATTATATGGTGGTATTTTTGCATCTATTTTAAGATAGTTATTTAGATAAATCTAGGAATTCTCATTTTGGCACAAGGAAATGATTAGATAGATAGATAGTTAGAAAGAATCTTACTAATATATGTAAGTAACACTTAATGAGAATTATCTTAAAAGCTACTTTTTCCAGTATTTGTTACTATCCAATACCTCTCCCAGGAAAATGTCTACTGTTGCATCAAAGGCATCTATGGCATAATACTTTATAATGTGTGACATATACTTAAAGTTGATATGACTGATGTTCTTGTTTCCTTACACAGATATGTAGATAAAAGGTAATTATATCCATGATTGCTTGATGCCTTGCTTACTAGTGGTATTAACTTCCTAGGCAGTTTACCAAAACTACTTAACCTCCCTCCCCCACCCCACCTTTTAGACAATATGCCTACATAAACCAATAGCTGCCCACTGGTCAATTTACTTTTTCTGAGGTGTGCTTTAGCTTAGATATTCTCTTTGTCTCCTATTCATCTGATATGACATCATGATTTCCCACTCACACAATGTGGTTGACTGTGATTCATTGTGGCTATTCCTGTTGACCCCTCATCAAAATAATTTTTGATATTCTAAATTTGCATGTGATGACTTTGGAATCTACCTTTCAACAAATGTTGTCTTCCTTTCATTCTGGAAATATTTTCTCGTATAATTTGATGTAAAGTAAAGCAAGCTACACCCTTTTGTTCTGAAATACCCAAGGTTTCACTCGAGAAAGTATAATTGCTTTTTAACCTCTAAGATATAATATGTTCAGTTTTTATCAGTCTATGGGCTGGTTACTTTGCTAACAACATGTGGCTTTCTTGATGCCATTGGAAAAAAAAAATGTTTCTCTGTACATATCTGATTGTATGTAGCTGAGGCAGCAGAGTTCTGTATTCTCTTTCTAATCTGGACTACAATAAGCCTGGTGATTTTCCATAGCATGTAGCTGTCAGTCTACTGATAGTTAATATGCGACTTATTGTACTGAGGAGTTAAATTAAAAATACTCTTTTTATATCATGCCTAAGGAGAACTGGAAAGGACACACACAGCTTGCTGAAGGGGAAATGGTGCTAGCATTTCAGAGAAATGTCCTAGCTCCAACACCTGGGTTTCCAATACCAGAATTGCATTTTTGTACCTGAGTTGGAGTGACATGGCACAGATGGCATGAGGCCATGACTGCATGACTGACCCTAAATCTAACCGCAAATGAAAATATTAGTGTTTCAGTGTTCATCAAATGGCAGACACTTTTCCACCAAAAATGGAGGATTCTGCTGCACAAACAGAGCAGTCCTGCTTCGGTTCTCATTTCTCCTTCTGTCCAAAGATATCAGGCTTGCTAAAACAAACAAACAACAACAACAACAACAAAAACAGTGAATTTAAGTGCCTTGTGGATATAGCAATGCCATTTTCCCCATGTCACAAACTCTATTTCTTTTTAAATAAATGGTGTAACTGTATTAATAGTGGTAGGTTACCCTTTTTGTACAAAGATTATTTTTAATCATCACTGGAAATGGGATTGGGTTTGTACTGTTTATCCAGGGAGGAGATGAGTTTTCCCAGAATTGTTCATACCCTTGCACGTTACTCCATGCACTGGCATAAACATTAGATGAGAGTATGGGTATAGTCCATATCTGTAAAACAGAACGTAGCTAAATGAGAAACACAGGATTTCAATCCAAGGTTATCTGGACTTCTGAGCCAAATCACCATATGTTCATGTCATGTACTGCGGCAAGTGTCATAGCATTTCAAGATGGGAGGACACTTAGAAATAGTGAAGCTTAAAATCCTCTTAAACATTTAGCTAAAATTATGTTAGGAATGAAGAGGAGTCCAAAATAAAACCCAAGATGGAGATCTGACTAAAAAGGAAAAAAATAGAGCAATGCCTTCTGATGGTTTTCAGATTTAGGCTAATTCTGCATTCATAAATTTAGGACATTTGCTGACTCATCCATTTCTATCATATATTAAGATTCTTCTTTGAAATATTATATATCTTTGATTTTTTGTAGTTATGTAGATAGAAATAAACAAAATAAAATAGAAATTCTTGTTTTAAAAGGCAAAGGATCCTCCCATATAGGTGTGTCTTTCCAAAGACAAGATACTGAATAAGTGTTGCTTCTCTTAATCAGCAAAGCTAGAAATAATATCTGATGAGTAACAATAACTCTTTTGTAACACATCATTTCACTGTAAGATCTCAGGAAACCAGATATCACTGAGGAACATATGAAGTCTGCTACTGTTAATCATGAATCACTTTTCAAGGATCTACTTTTTTTGTTTTCTATCATAAATGGCTAGTACCTTTTATGGGTGGAGTAGAGAGGGAGTCTCCCCTCATGTAACAAATTCTGGGAACATTAAATAAATAGTGATAGCAAATATCTTGATGCTCATTAAACTTTTCTTGGGCTTGTAGACTACAAAACTCTTTAGAGAGATTCCTACATTGAATAATATTGTTCAGAACATGAGCCAAAATATATCTGATCAAGTTTTTTTACAAGAATGGAGATTTTCTTTATTTTATTTTATTTTTCCATAAGTTATTGGGATACAGGTGGTATTTGGTTACATGAGTAAGTTATTTAGTGGAGATTTGTGAGAACCTGATGCACCCATCACCTGAGCAGTATACACTGCACCATATCTGTTGTCTTTTATCCCTCGCCCCCCTCCCACACTTCCCACCAAGTCCCCAAAGTCCATTGTATCCTTCTTAGGCTTCTGCGTCCTCATAGCTTAGCTCCCACAAATCAGTGAGAACATACAATGTTTGGTTTTCCATTCTTGAGTTACTTCACTTAGAATAATAGTCTCTAAACTCATCCAGGTCATTGCAAATGCTGTTAATTCATTCCTTTGTATGGCTGAGTAGTATTCTATCGTGTATATATATATATACCAAAGTTTCTTTGTTGATTGATGGGCATTTGGATTGGTTCCACAATTTTCCTATTGTGACTTGTGCTGCTATAAACATGCGTGTGCAAGTATCTTTTTCGAATAATAACTTCTTTTCCTCTGGGTAGATACCCAGTAGTGTCATTGCTCAATCAATTGGCAGTTCTACTTTTAGTTCTTCAAGGAATCTCCACACTGTTTTCCACAGCAGCTGTATTAGTTTACATTACAAGAATGGAGATTTTCAAATAAAAATACTTTTTGTCACATTTCCATAAATAGTTGGTGACTATGACAGCATCTATGCCATGTTTCTTATGTTCTGTTTACTACAAGAGAAATTATCCTGACTTTCAATAAGTATTTGAACTGAAAATTGGACTCCTGGAGGTGTTATATAACCTCTGTACGTTTTCTTTTCCTCACCGCTAAAAGCAGATAATAATAATATCTTCATTACAGCATTGTTGTGACAGTTAAACAAAATAATTCCTGAGAGTGATTAGTGTATTGCTTAGCACTTAGTAAGCAATGAGAAAGTGATAGTTCTTAGTTGCATTTTAGATTCAAGCAAGGAAGAGTTTCTAACAGTGATACCAACCCTTGGAAACGTTTAGACTTAGCTGTCACAATCTATGGAAATGTTGTACACATGATCCTTGGAAAATCTGGCCTAGACCAGTAGTTCCCAAATTTGGCTATATAAAAGAATACCTGAAGGAAATTTAAAGTTATGAATATACAGGTGCTACTTCAAATCTACTCAGTCAGACTCACCGGTGCTGGGACCTGAGAAGATGAATTTTTACCCTCCTCTCCAGATGATCTGCTTCATGATTGAGAACCACTTACGCAGGTAGCTTATAGAATACCACCTAACTCAGGAACTCTGCAAATGTTTGACTAAATCTAAAGAGGTAGCTTTTATATGCAATGGAGGCATGCACAGCTTTCATATTTGACAGACTTTTCCATAGCTCCATATGTCACGTATGTATACAGGAGTCAATGATAATTGATGGTAATGAGGCAGATTGCCTGAGTGCTGCAGAGTTCCTTGGAGGTTCTTTTTAGAGCTTTCTAAAGCACCACAAGTGCCTGATGGCATATATCATCACGGTCTCCATGTAATTACTGATTCAGCATTTCCCAAGCTGATGCTCCCCCATACACTGTTCTGCAAGATGTTATTAATAAGCACTTAAATGACATCTTTCTTCAAATAAATTTGGTGAACAGATTTCTTCAGTCTAGTACTTCTCTATGACTTCCAAAAGCCTTCAAGATGCCAATGTGCACTGTGAATTTCCAGTAGATGAAATATAATCAGGCACATCATTTGCTATTTAGACCATGGGCTCTTTACTTGATGTCTACCTGTTGGCATCTTTCAAGGAAAAATGTTTTACAGAACACAGTTTAGAAAATGGTATGCATTCAACCATTATGTCCCAAACACAAATTTCTTTTTATTTGTGCAAATGTATGGAGTGCATGAGAATTTTTTTAATGTATATAATGCATAGCGATCTAGTCAGAGTAGTTAGGGTGTCCATCTCCCAAGTACAATACACTTTCATGTGTAGTCATCTTTCTCTGTGAGATTAAAAAAAAAAAAAATCACAGAATCTGGCAAGGCATGGTGGCTTACTCCTGTAATCCTAGCACTTTGGGAGGCTGAGGCCAGTGGATCATCTGAGCTCAGAAGTTCGAGACCACCCTGGGCAACATGGTGAAACCCCGTCTCTACTAAAATACAAAAAATCAGCCAGGTGTGGTGGCACGCGCCTGTAGTCCCAGCTACTCAGGAGGCTGAGGCAGGAGAATCGCTTGAACCTGGGAGGTTGCAGTGAGCCGAGATTGTGCCACTGCACTCCAGCTTGGGCTACAGACTGAGACTTCTTAAAAAAAAAAAAAATCACAGAATCTGAATTGGTAGTCATCTAATCTTGCAAAGTAAATATTTTTGCAGGAATGTTTCTGAGATTCTGATTCTGTGCCTGGATTTCAATATGAATCTCTTTAATTTTGTCCAGAAAATAGAGTTTCATGTAAATATATCACAACCCAAAGAGTTATCTCCTCACCCTCACCATTTTTGCTAAATCAGATTTCTGAGACATTGGAAGGAAGGCTCATTTTTTTGTTATTGTTAAAAAGCAATAGATAGAAACTAGGCCAGCTGGTTTTAGGAAAACAACTAACTGGTTTCTGCAATAACTTAGACTGGTGACTAACATGGTAAACCTATAAAATGATAAGGAGTCATAATAAGATAAACTCAACAAGGTTAAACCAATTCACTTCACTTCTGCAGAGAACCCAGCAGGACATACTAAAGAACATACAAGTTTGTTAGCATATTTTTCATGTTGCTGAAGAAAAGATTACATTTGTCCCCATTAATTTGGCTGTCTTGGTCTTTCCATATGACATGGAAATATATTATCCTTAGTATATTTTTAGGTGAATAATGTCCATGTCCGCTACTACAACTTTAGGCCCTCTAACTTCCCTTTGTAATTGTGGAGTAAAATGTGGTGTGATTTCATGTGCATCACTTTTGTTAGAAATAATGGGAGTGTTGGGTTTCTATTCTGTTAAAAAATAAAATGCTCTTATTATTTACTTTAAGGTAGAATAAGTACTTCATCCTTCACTGATCATTTGGAATTGAAATTATAAAAATAAAAAGGGCAGGGTATATTGAGCTCACTGCTTTTTAGTCACCTTATTTGTTCAATTATCAGCTGTCTATGCTTGCAAGTAACTTTCAGGCCACCAGCAAAACCCTGTCGTCTCAATAGAGGAAAGCTGCATCTTTATACATATAAGAACTTTATTTTCATTTTTTAAGGGAGGAGATGTATGAGTAATGCTGGAAGATTCCAGTCTGTTTCCATTATGCAGGCTACTAGAATAGCTATTTAGATTCTTGACATAAAGAATAAAAACAGACCTTCCTAAAAAGTAGATAGGAAGCCAGTGTGTGACTAAAAAGTTGCTGGGTACTAAATCACTGTGCATGTAGTGTGAAATTGGGCAGGATTTTTCTATTCCCACTATAACTTCTGCAGAAAATGGTCAGTTAAGTGGGGCTAAATGGATCATATCTGTTCACTCCGCTTGTGAATCTATACAGGTTTGGGATCAAGCTTACCATGTATTCTCAGGTAGATCCTGCTAATAATTGAGACAGTATTTTTACTTGCATATTATTTTGATAGCTTGCCATACCTAAAAGCATATTTAAATACTTTTATAGTGTTATGCATCTTTCAAATCCTGCAGAGCCACAGTCAAAAGTTGTAGCAATTGTTTAGGTAATGCAATGATCAAAAACCCAAGTGTGGGTGTTTCTCTGTCCAACCTGCCAGAAGCTGATTTGGCCTGAAGCCAGGGAGTTTATGCTTCAGTTGTGCTTCAGGTCCCTCACTTGCATGTCCCTGTCTAAGAACGTGTAGTTAAATTTATAGTTGTAATTTTAAAATTTATTTTTCCAAAAAAACAGCATCAACATCGTGTAAACTTCAGATGCCACAAAACCTGGATCCATCCCTTCATTTTTTTTTTTAAATTTTCTTTGCCTCTACCATACATTCAAGGTAATGCATCAGTTTGGTT
This sequence comes from Homo sapiens, assembly GCF_000001405.40. Classification (NCBI taxonomy): domain Eukaryota; kingdom Metazoa; phylum Chordata; class Mammalia; order Primates; family Hominidae; genus Homo; species Homo sapiens. The sequence continues at coordinate 138,975 of NW_013171804.1, read as the reverse complement.
TTTCAAGCAATGGGACAAATGACAGGTTCATTGTTTCCAAAAATACCACCCATGATTTTACAGTTGGTTTTATCTTCTGAAATATTTTTTTTCTTGGCATATTAACATTAAAATAAAGCTTCCTAAGTTCAGTTTATTCTAGGAAAGACTAGGGATTCATTCTTTTATTTATTCTTTTCTTTATTTAGTAAACTTTCATTCAGTAATGAGGTTGCTGCATGGCTCTTGGCATGTACAAAGATAAAGTGATAAAGAGAAAAATAAAAGATCTTGTTCCTCAGTTGGCCTACCAACTTTACATTTGGAGTGTCCAAAGTATTTAGTGAAATTTTCAATTATAAAATGATTTTAAAATAGCTGCATATATAGTGTCTTGTGGGGTATCACCATTTCATGTGCATTATCTCATTTGAATCACTTTCCTATGCTTAAGTACAACAAGTGTTTTAAGTTATTAAAATGGTAGGTTAGTAAGTAAAACAAGATGTCAATGAAAGTATTAAGGCACAATGGAGCTATGTTTTACAAATCTAACAGTGCTTTTGTACTCACGAATTAATTACTTGGGTATAAGTTAATCATACCCTGAAAGTACAAAAAAAAAAAAAAACTTAATTTCCTGAGCTCTCTGCTGGAAAAAGATACTAATTTTAGATCAGATTCCAGTTAAAACATGCTAAAAATTCAACAAGCTCAAAAATTACTTCAGAGTTTCTATTCAGTGTCCAGATAGCATCCTTCTGCTTTCAGGAGTCACCTTCCTTTAATATATTTGGGAAGGAGTAAAGCCTGTATCTGTCCTGTTTCTCCCATCTCACGCTCTTCTCCCCAACTGTGACACACACACACCCTGAGCATTTATCATTTATTGGACAAATATGTATCCATACTATGGGTCAGGCATGGTAACAAGCATTGGAAAGCCAATAGTGAGAAAACAATGCTCTGGATTAATTGAATAATTACATACATTTAATTACAAACTGTGGCAAGCACTAGGAATGAAAAGCACAAGGTATCTGGAGGAGATAATAATTGAAGAACTTGATCCTCTGCATGTAGAGGAGCATTTTCTGTGCAAGGAAGATTTAAGGTAAGATCTGAAAGATTGCTTGAAAATAACCATCTCTTTCCCTTCCCCCCCAAGAAAAACAATAAGTAAATAAAAGGTTTTTGGGTGCATGAGACTTTGCTAAAATGCATTTAAGAAAAATTCAACAGCTTTAGGGATACAAATGGTTTTGGGTTACATGGATGAATTGTATAGTGGTGAAGTCTGGGCTTTTAGTGTACCCATCACCCAAATAGTGTACATCATAATCAGTAGGTAACTTTTCATCCCTCAGCCCCTCCTACCCTCCCCACTTCTGACTCTCTCATGTCCATTATACCACCCTGTATGCATGTGCATACTCAGCTGAGCTCTCACTTATGAGTGAGAACATGTGGTATTTGGTTTTCCATTCCTGAATTACTTTGCTTAGGATAATGGCCTCCAGCACCATCCAAGTTGCTGCAAAAGACATTATTTTGTCTGTATTTATGGCTGAATAGTATTCCATAGTAAGTATATATTTATATACACACCACATTTTCTTATTTTTTAAATAATTTCAACTTTTATTTTAGATTCAGGGAGTACATGAGCAGTTTGTTACGTGAGTATATTGTGTGATGTTGAGGTTTCAGATATGAATGATCCCGTTACCCAGGTAGTGAGCATAGTACCCAATAGGTCATTTTTCAACCCTTCCCCTCCTTCCAGTCACCCTCTCAGTGTCTGTTGTTCCCATCTTCATGTCCATGTGTATCCAATGTTTAGCTCACTTATAAGTGACAACATGCAGTATTTGATTTTCTGTTCCTGTGCTAATTATCTTAGGATAAGGGCCTCCAGCTATACACATGTTGCTGCAAAGGATATAATTTCATTCTTTTTATGGCTGTGTAGTATTCCATGATGGGTATATACATTTTCTATATCAAATCCACTATTGATGGACACCTAAGTTGATTCCATGACTTTGCTATTCTGAGTAGTGCTTTGATGAACATACACATGCAACCACATTTTCTTTATCCACTCATCAGTTGATGAGCATTAGATTGGATTCTGTGTCTTTAAAACTGAATTGTGTTGTGATAAACATAGGCATGCAGGTGTCTTTTTTATAAAATGAGTTATTTTCTTTTGGGTAGATACATACCAGTGGGATTGCTAGATTGAATGATAGATCTTCTTTCAGTTCTTTGAGAAATCTACATATTGTTTTCCATAGAGGCTGTAGTAATTTACATTCCCACCAACAGTGTATAAGCATTGCCTTTTCACTTCATTCATGCAAGCGTCTATTGTTTTTTACTTTTTAGTAAAAGCCATTCTGGCTGGGGTAAGGTGGTCTCTCCTTGCGGTTTTATTTTGTATTTTCCTGATGATTAGTGATGGTGAACATTTTTTCCTATGTTTGTCGGCCATTTGTTTATCTTCTTTTGAGAAATGTCTGTTCATGTCATGGAAATAATTATCCTCTATGTAAGATTATTTTCAAAACGTAAGTAAAAAGCATCCCAAATGAAACCCTCTACAATTAGGAACATACCCCAATCTCTGAACTTGCTTCCCTGCCCTGTAGGCTTCCTTCTTCAAACCTCTTCCCTTCAGAGAATCTGCGAAATAGAATAACCACCAGAAATACCTTTACCAAAGTAAAAAATTATTCTACCTCCAACAACACCGTAGACTAGAGTGTAAGTAAAGTGATCTTTCTGAGCTCCAGTTCAGGACAGCCACCCAAGCTTTGTTTGGATACCTTATACACGGTCCTCTCTAAAATCTGCGCACAACCATGAAATGTAGATAACCATTGTATATGCAGAGTCTCCTAAGAACAACACTGATTCTTGAGCTCAGCACAGTTTAAATTCAAATTCAAGAGAACGTTTCCCTAAATGTCCTATAATCTGCATGGGAGCTTCCACCTAGAATAACGTATCTTCTAGATAATGCCCAAGGCCCATAGATGCATACGAACTGGGACCCGTTTCAAAGCCATCTCCCCCTAATGCCGGCCATCTGCTTAACTATAGAAAGAGGAGGCAAAAGGGTTACATTGATTTTTTTCCTTATTTTTTGGAGCTTGTAAAATTTTTGTTCAGGGAGTATCTTGAAATCTTTGTCGGGGGAAGGGAGGCAGTCCAAGCATCTTTTATCCTCAGGACCATAAAGTCCCCAGGAATGAATAAGAGATTGCTATGACATATACACTGGGTCTCAGGAGAATGTCAATATTCATGTTGATGTGGTTAAAAAGTGTTAGCCAAGATGAAATCAGCTTACCTCCCTCCCTTATTCAGATACCTTCAGATTGTGCCCACCTACAGGACCAAATGATCCCACTGAGGTTTTACATGTTGTACAAGCCCTGAATAGGATTTTCCGAGTGTAAGGGGCCTTTCCTAGGCTAAGGCCTCTAAAAACGATTCTTATCATTTTACAATTCAGCACATTCATTGTTTCATTATGGAGATATAACAGGATACATACACAGACATAAGTGCCCTCGTTTCAACTGTATGGCCATCAATACCCATCCCTGTTTGCACCCGAACTACCCTGTAGAAACCTGAGTAATTGGAATCAGACCTTAAAGGCAACATGATTGGCCTGCAGTCTTCTTGTTTTGTTTGCATTGACTAAACTTTAAATGATAGTTTTTCTGTTTGAAAATTCAGGTCAAAAGGATATGGTTTATAGCTCTTCTGTTTGTTCTCTTATAGTGATTCTCACCACTTTATTCAACTTGCCAGAAACAGCCCACTTGTCAAATATAGAGTAAACCTGGAAAAGAAACCTGCTAGCTCCTTCCATCAACAGACCATTCTTCTCATACTCTTTTGCTCCAAATATCAGAGCATTTTTTGGTGAATACTAAGCCAGTTGATACCTTACTATAGCATATTGCTATCTATAAAGAGAACTGAGTTTTTATTTTCTTTCATTTTACATTTTTGGTCAGAATTCTTCAAAGTGTAATAAAATGGCTACACTACTTTGTGAATATTCTTGGAAAATCCTTTGATATGCCTTGCTGAGACCCTGGCAGCACTAGTAAGAATCTTGTAGCATCATCCTACATGTTACCCCTAACCCAGAGTAACAGATGCAGAGGTATGATTGACACCGCTTTTAGTTCACAGAAGCCTGTTTAACTAACTACTAATTACACAAATCTGGGACTGGAGTTCTAGATGTCACCACTTCAAAAAACATCCCTTTTCTCACCATGTTTTGTTTCTCTTAATGCCATAGAAATGATTGAATCAGAGAAAAGACTGACTTTGATTATTTTAGCTTCCCCTAGTTTTCTGGCCTAACTCAGAATGACTCCATCAGTCTTTACTATAATACTGGAAACTCCTTTAGGACAACACTCTCCCCCTTTATTTGTTAGTACCTTGTGTGTGGTCACTGCATAGTAAATATCGAATATACTTAATATAAGCATCAGATGGAAAGATGGATGCAATAGATAATTTCATGTATAAAAATGAAGTATGGCTGGGCATGGTGGCTCACACTTGTAATTGTAGCACCTCGGGGGGCTGAAGCAGAAGGATAACTTCAGCCCAGGATTTGAGACCAGTCTGGGCAACATAGTGAGACCCCATCTCTAAAAAATAATATATATATATTTTTTAATTAGCCGGGCATGGTGGTACACATCCATAGTTCTAGCCACTTGGGAGGCTGAGGGAGGAGGATCACTTGGGTCCAGGTGTTTGAGGCTGCAGTGAGCTATAATTGAGCCCCTGCACTGAAGCCTAGGTGACAGAAAGAGACTCTGTCTCAAACAAAAAAAAAAGAAAAAAATAGGAGCTCAGATTTCTAAAAGTTTGTCCTATTGTGATCTTATCAGAGAAAGAAAAACACATTTTTTTCCTCATCAAAGGTTTGTAATCGAAACACCTGCTAAAGTAATTCAAGAGATACGAAACATATTTGCTATGGTCCCATGAATTTTATCTGCTTTTATGTTATCTCATTGGAAATAGGATTCAGAACCCTGATTTCCCATAATTTCTCTCACAATTTTGTTAAGACTAAAATTCTATGTGATTTTAAGCCTGCACATTTATTCTCTTTCTTAAAAGCTTTTCATTTTGCCATTTGATGAATATTGGAAGTGAGTGGATTATCTGGATAAAGAGAATTAGTCGAGGTTTGCATCAGTCAAGAGAGTAAAGCCACCAGAGGCTTTCAGGGAGTGCCTTACAATATAAATAGTCCTAATCTCCTTCAAGCATTGACTTCTAAGAAAGAGAATTTTCTCAAGGCCAGTGTTTTTAATCAGCTAGATCTGCAACATGATTGAAAGTAATGCTGGTGATAACCAAAGCAGGCTGTGCAGGAAAAAAAGCAGCGAGCAGTCAGTGATCTGATTCATGAGGAATGTTAGAGGCTGGAGAGGAGGGGAAAATTAAGAAGTGTCTCAGATCCCCTAACTACTTCTACCTCTAAAACAGTCATCCAGAGACATCCCTGCCTGAAGTGAAAATGTACCATTTGGATGGGAGCAAGTTATTAGCTAGAGGAGGGCACCCAGTGAGATGCTGGAAATGTAGACAGTGCTTTCACGGTCCCAGTGTTTCCATTTTTCATGCCAAAAAGGATCAGTGCCAGCTACAAAACAGGTGGAATTATTCTAGCATGGCTTTGTAGACAGGAAAGAGAATGAATATGTGTTTTACCTGAGATGTTGGGGCAGCAGTAAAAGCAGAGGAGGTTACAGCAAAATGAGAAGAAAAATGGCTCTAGCCACAAATTGTTGGAGCCTGGACTCCCCATGGCAATGGCCTGGACCCCCATTTTTGCACCTTCTTTTCTCCTAGGAGAAAGAAAGAAAGTGCCTATGAAGCAGTCGTCCTTAATGAGCAGAGGAAAGGTTTTCTTGTTTTGTTTTGTATCATGCAGTGGAAATAGAGAAAAAAGTAAAGGAAGTAAATTCTTCTATAATTATTTCAGATATATTTTCTTGAGTTTTTTTAAAAAATGTTTTCCTCAAGCGTCTCCACAAAAAGGAAAAGAATTTTCACTAGGAAAAAAATAAATATGTGGCCAAAATAATTTCAGATCTTGTGTATAATTTGCCTCTGAAAACATTTGAGCAAAAGGCCACAGACCCTTGGGCAAAACTGTTACACCAGTACTCTTCTATCCAGGTCACTTTTACCAGATGTAAAATGCAATCTGATAGTTACTACTTTTGGCAATTCCCAAAGTGTGTATTGGCCTTGCAGGAAGCAATTTGTTTAGAGTCTTAATGTGGGTTGTTTGGGGTGCTCGAAAGTGGTGTTCCAGTGCTACCTGAATCACGACTGACCACATCCAAAGTGAGGACTCACCCAGCAGGCACAGAAAAACCATCTAGGAAGGCGGCGATCAGAAGATTCCGGTTCTAAAGACTTAGACTCACTGGATTTTATAAGGTGATCATTGAACAGTCAGCTAGGTTAAAAAATCAGAATGTACTGAGGATTAGACTAAGAGCTGAGAGAAGCTATCAAAAAAAAAAAAAAAAGGTATTTCCACTGGTTTGAACACTTTTCTTTTTTTTTTTTTTCTTTATCTAATGAATTTCTATTTATCCTTTGAAACTCAGCTTCACCTCACTTTCCCTGGAAATCCTTTCTGGTTCCCCATAGTGTAGGTCAGATGTTCCTGACCTAGATAACTAGATAGCTCACTTTAACTTCTGATCTTCCCTGTTGGACTGTCAGCTCCATGAGGATGTAGATGGCATCTTTCTCTCCAGTACCCAGTGCCAATCACAGAGATCGGTAAAGCTTTTCTGTACAGGACCAGATAGTAAAGATTAATTTAGATATTGTGGGCCATACAGTCTCTGTCACAACTACTCTGTTGCAGTGAAACAAACACACACAAAAGCCACAGGTGATATGAAAATGAATGATTGTGGCTACATTCTAGTAAAATCTTATTTACAAAAACAGGCATAAGCTGGATTTGTCTTGCCATCTATAGTTGCTGACTCTGGCTTAACAAAATGCCTGGCACAAAATAGTGGTTCAGAGAAGACTTTCCAAAGTACAGGCTGAGTTGATGGTGGTCTGTGGGCAGGGAGATAAGAGGATATATTTGAGAGCTATTTGGTGATTTGATAATTTGGAGATTTTATTTGATGGGTGGGTAAGAAGTAGAGTAGAAATTCAAGTTTCTGACTTGAGCCTCTGGTCTTAAGGAGGAAATATTTTTGTAAAAACAGTGGGACTGGGTATGGTTAGCAAGAGTGGAGAAGAAGAGGTGAGTCACATTTGGAGCATACTGAATATGAGAAATATGTGATATACTCTGTAACAATTTGGCTCTCAGACTTTGTGTGCAACAGAGTCACCAAGAGGACTTGTTGAAAACACAGATTCCTGGGCCTCACACCCAAAGTTTCTGATTCTGAGGTGGGGCTCAAGAATTTGCATATCTATAATGCTCCCAGATGATGTTGAAGTTGCTGGTCTGGGGACTATTCTTTGAGAAAAACTGACCTAAAGACGTGTGCTGGGGTTTTTATTTGGGTGTCACCAGTATTAAAAGTAAGTGAAATGGAGAGAGAACCAAGCAAAATCTTGAGAATGCCATAGTAGCAGTATACATACTACTATCCTTTAAACAAATAATGAAGTCCTTTGAGACTACAATACGATTCCTTTTCTTCTCCCCATGCCATAACATTTTCTGTGAAAGGAGCCATGAAGTCATTCCTGTCCCCATCTAAGCCTTGACTTCTGTAGTGTCTCTTTGGAGCTCCTGGTTTGGTGCCAAGCTCATTTCGTTGAGTACCCCCAGATCTACCTCATATTGCTTTTCCTCTGTCCCTGTGACCCTTATAGAAATGTCTCCCTCATCTTCAGTCTACATATCGATTTTCAAAATCTAAGCTTTCCTTCTATTGACCCAGTATTCCTGGCACATCCCCAGACTCTCCAACTCAGACCAAGAAGGCCACCATATCTAGGCAGAATCAAAAAGAAAATAAATGTTGATATTAAACAACTCTATTTCATTCGCAGAAAGATGGAAAAATATTAGAAAGATATCATCCAAGAAGAATATAAGAGGAGGCCTCAAACCTTCTTGCAAATATTTCCACTACTAAAATCAGGGCCATCTCCTAGACCTCCACCCAGACTGAGCTCTTTGTGGCTCTCTTCTCCTACTCTCTGCAGTATAACTGTTATGATTATTAGTATTAACAATTATATTGATGGCCACTATTCGTTGATGCTTGCCACTAAATGCTTTGGGTACATTTTCTTATTTCATCCTCACAACTACTGCTGAGGTAGGTCTTTGCATCTTCATTTTAGAGCAATACAGATGCCAATGAACTTATTCAAGATCAAACAGTTCATAGGCAACAGTGAGAGAAATTTCATCTCAGAGCTTACTGACACCATAGCCTCTCTTCATGACCATTCTTCAGCACCCCAGATTTCCCTTCTCCTTACTGTAGTCCTGAAAGAAAAATGCACAGATGCTACATTTTTAAAGGCTTTGCTGCTAATCTCTACATAGATATAGATAGAGTATAACAAGCTTAGCAAGGTTTAAAAGTTGAGAAACTATTTTAAAGCTCTCAAGATCCTAATCCATAGCAGGATACAATCTTATAAATATGGAGGTACTGTTGGAATTCTTCCCTCATGGTTTATTGCTAAGGAAGGAACTCATCAAAACTTCACCACCCCATCCCCATATCATTTTATTTATTCTTGCCTAAAGGAGAGGAACAGGCTGACTACTTTATAAACGAATAGCACTTTGCAAAGAGTGGGGGAGAGGGAAATTGGGTTCAGTTGAATGAGATGCCAGTCGTATCTCTAAGTGGAAATGCCAGTTAATTAAAAGGATAACTCTGAATGACAGAGGCATGCTAATTGTAACTATTTAGTTGCATTCCATTGCTCCCCCGACCAGACTGAGTGGAGTTGGTGCCAGAGGGCCTCAGCAGTTACACAGTGCTTGCTCTAGGAAAGCACTAGGCAGAGATGATTACTGCTCACCTGGTATTTATAGTCCCCTTGCAGTTAGGCAGTCATTGGTGACTTGGTCTGGTCAATGTGCTGTAAAAAGAAGTAATTTGTATTACTCTTGGGTAAAGCATTTAAGATCTGGTAGATAACTTTCCAACTGTTTTTTTCCATTGCTTCGGTTACCATAAAAGCCAAGTGTTATAAGTGGCATAAGCCCAAGATAAAAGCAGCCTGGATCCGTGAGTCACTACATAGAGGAGAGTCAACCTGGAGAGTCCCTCAACCTTGGGTGGACTTTGTAAGAGTGAGAAAGAATTTGTTGTATAAATTTGTTTAGTAAATTTGTTACCATGGATTGTTTTTCATTGCAGCATAGCACAGCCTACCTAAACTAATGCAACCGCTCATGTTAATACTAAATTTATTTCCTCTGCTGGGTCAAATGAAGGTTTCTGTTGGTTCTACAATGTATCTTCACCCCTTGTTGAAACAGATTATAGCTACATTTAAAGAAGAAAATGAAAACAAAAGGTAGGGAGAAAAATTCAAGAAATGCCATTCTGGGGAGAGAATACTTAATTCATACAGACAAACGTAAATAATATAAGTTTTACAGGAAAAACTGTAACTTAAGAAAACTATGATGCTGCAGGCTTGGAAATAGTATTCCGTGATATGAGCCCTAAGGGTTTTAAGAAGTATTTATGACACTGTTTACTAAATGGTTTTCTGATTTCAAAGACATGAGGAAGAAGCATGGCAACATTAGAAGAAAGGAAGAAAGCAATATTAATGAAAATTTTGAGGGAGAAAAGTGGCTTGAACATTTGTCATGTGTAAAAAGTAAAAGGAAGAACATTTAAACCAGATTTTTCCATGAAATATACACAACACAGGCTTTCAAAGAACAAATAAAGGCATGTAAGTTGGCATGGTAGTCTGAAGGAGAGTGCTTTTGAGTCATCAATCCTGAAGGTGACAGGGGTATGAACAACTGTAGTTAAGTGTATATCATAAAGAATGTGCTATCATCTCTGTAGCAAAAGACAAATGGCCTGATCACTGTAAGAAATTCAGGAGAATTTGTGGATGAAAAACTTTCCAACCAAAGGGGACAAGGACAAGTAAGTCCATATATAAACAGTTGGCAGCCTGATTCTCTCACCTACTTCCTCCCTTTTATTTCACTTTTCTCCTGTGTGTGTGTATGTGCATGTGTGTGCACACACAGACTCCTGCCACAATCTGATCTAAGGCAATGGATCATTCACAACTAGTAGGTTCCAAGTGGTAAATAAAAGTTTCAATAGTAGAGTCAGGTAAAGGTTATAAGTCTCTTCCTACAACCACATTATAGTAAAAACAAGGCTGGTAGATGAAATTTGGTCACACATACAAACACTTATTGGCAATCAAGCATGCAGCTTGTTCGGTACATTCTTAGTGTTTTAACGCCAGCAGTGTGACAAATTTGCTTGAAGGAAATGCAACCAATATTCTAGCAGCAGAATTTAGTGTGGCAGCAAGTATCTTCAGAATCAATGGGTGTATACTAGATTATTTCAAAGTCTGGCTTTTGGCCTCCTTCTAAAAGATACAGGCCACCTAGTCTCTAGATTCTTACACTCTATTCCTACAATACTTCCATTACTCATATCCTCATGTGAGTAACAAAAAAATAATTTCTAATATATCTGTTATGCTAATCCATAAAACCTCTGATGTTAATCAGACATAAAAATCTTAAAGATAAAGATAGCTGAAGAGCATACTTTTAGAAAGTGGGCTTCAGATTAGAAGTTTTAAAATGCTAGCTGTCCTTGGAGACTGTTCTCCCAATTAGGCCAACTGATCTCCCATAGAAGGTAGATTAAGTTATCACAAACACATACAGACATTATGTCACACTGTCTATGCTGAGGTATATTCAAGGATAATAAGAGATAGAACAAAACAATTCCAATCCATGGAGGTGGATAAGGGATAGATTTCATTAAAAAATACATGGAGAAAGAACAACTATCATGTATTGAAATTTTTTAAATGAGCATTTAAATCACCAACTACAGAGTTTGCTCAATATTTCTTAAATTCTATTGGCAAATTATACACCTATTAAACTTAGGTAGGAGCCTGCAGATGAAACCTTTTTTTTTTTTTTTTTTTTTTTGCCTATGGAATATAGGTTAACAGCAAATATAAACACCCCTCCATCGGCTGCCTTTTGTGGGAGCTTCTCTGTAGTATGGTGGTATTTCTATGTGACCTCTAAAGTCGGATCGCCTGGTTCCAAACTCTTGCTCTTTTACTTATTAACTTTAGGCATATTTAACTATAGCTTATAATTTTAAAGTGAGGATCATAACTCTTATGGATGCTGGAAAGATTAAATAAATTAACATATTAAGTATTAATATTTATAAGAATCCCTAAAACACAAATGGTACATGCCTATTGTTATTATTGTATTAATATTATTGATATTATTATTATAACCTTCATTTCCAAATCCTGTGTACTTCCCTCCACTGCAGATGTGACTGAGATGCATGGGGAGAATAGGGGCTGTTTCATAGGATTCAACATAGATTAAATGAAACTATGTACCTGAAGCCCTATAACACAGTGACCCACTAAGTGGATAACAAAAATGATGAGTAAGGTTTCCTACGAAGCTCTTGCTATGTTGTAGTTGTAGTTGCCATGTTCAACCTTTGGAAATTCTTCCAGGTATCTCAGCCATCGACCCCCCCTTTTCTAATTATGATGTCCTAGAGAAAAGCACAATAACTCTAAGACCCTGCAGGTCTACAGAGATTCTGCCTTAGGAAGTTGAATGCTTCCCTCCACTTCCCAACCCTGAATGTACCAAAAAGAGCACTGGGTGGAGTCGTAGCTAAGTAAAGAGTGTGGATTCTTTTCTTTACAGTTAAAATAGCAGGAAGTCAGAAATATAAAAGTTCAGACCCCAAAATGGTACTGACACTTAAGCAAAGCCACATCAATTTCACTTTCATTGAATGGATTTGAAAAGCTACACTGATAATCCCCTGAACATTTTCAGTGTGTAGCTCTCTCATTCAGTATGTTTAATCCACTCTCCTAGATCATTATACAAGTGTTTTGTTTTGTGCCATGGGAAATTCTGATCTTAGTTGATGAAGTACTCAGTCACCTCTAATCTTGTGAGAGCCACAAATGACGATAATTTCAATTTATGGAGTAACCTGGAATGAAGAAGACAATATGCTGAGTCTGAGAGCTGAGGTAGTTGTGTTTTTACTTCAGATCAGCAGAAAATTTTTTAAAGGGAACATCCTTTGTGCATTAGTTCCAACTGCATTTTCTCAATTTTTATCAACTATAGTCACTAAGGAATCACTGAAGAAAAGGTAAGAGCTCTGAAAGTTGACTTAGAGAATCTGCATAGAAAAGAGAGAATCAACAAAATCAACAATGCATAATCATTGAAAAGCTATGGAAGAGGTATGAAAGGCTTAGTGAAAACAATGCTGAGTTGGCACTGAAGAGCTTTGGAGTTGAATAAGGCCACCTCTCAAGAGCTGGATGACCTTGAACTTCTCACTTCTCTCAGGGCCACTTTTTCCTCATCAGTTAAAATTTGAGAATTCAAAGAAGTTATTATTAGGATGTCTTTCATCCCTAAAATTCTGTCTGTGAAAGATGCAGAAAATTGCTACAATGTTGCATAAATAAATAGGATATGTATTATCTGAGGCTGTTGGCAGGAAGAATTCTCTTCTTTTAATGTCCTAAACGGATTTGTTTCTCTGAAGTCTTCATTTTACTTTCTGTGTTGTGCACAGCATCCGTTCTCTTTTGTGGCAATTATCTTTTCCTATCTCACACTTATCACACTGGAATCCAGCCACCAGTTTGTTTGTCTCACTCGTGGCTATTATCAATTCTTGCAGTTCAGGAATCACGTCGAACTCCCCTGTTTCCCGAGTGCATAGGAAAGTGCTTAGCATTGAATGTGGAGCGATAGAATGAACAAAGAAATGACAAAATGACTAGGTGGATGAATGCATAGCTTAATATCAGCGAGGCAGGAAGTAAACAAAGAGACACTGAGCACCAAGTAATTCAATACAATTCATCATGAGAACTTATCTTTAAGCTCCTGTTTCATGAGGTTAGATACTGTCCAACATGGTTCTTACAGCACTTGTTTTAGCTGACAGCACTGGCATTCAGTGAAAATTACAGTGGGCTTGAGTATCTTTGGAAATAACGGTTTTGCAAATTTGATTACCATTAAACAGCCTTTATAAAACACCTACCTGAGTAGGAATGGAGTATATATGTTAGCCAAGACTTAATTATTCATCTCAGGAATTGGCACACTATCTGTTGGCTAAAGCCATCTTCCTGTCTACTTACCTTATCTGTTTTTATAGAGCCCATATTCTAAAAATGATTTTTACATTTTTATATGTTTGGGGAAAAAAATTCAAAAGAATGATACATGATAATTACATGAATTTTGAATTTTTTTGCCCACCAACGAAGTTTTATTGGAACACAGCCACACTTATGTGATTACTATTGTCTGAATGCTTTGATGCCACAACAGCAGAGTTGAGTAGTCACAAAAGACTGGATAGCCCACAAAGCCTAAAGTATCTACTATTTAGTCCTATACAGAAAAATTTGCCAAGCCAGGCTATATCTGATGGTCCTTTTTGATAATGGTATTATCAAAATCAATTTATAAACAGAAATTACTGTGTGTTTGGAAGAACTGCTTCATCTTTTTTATTTATTTATTAATTTTTTGAGACAGGGTCTTGCTCTATGGCCCAGGCTGGGGTGCAGTGGCAACATCTTGGCTCGCTGCAACCTCTGCCTCCCAAGGCTCCAGCGATCTTCTCACCTCAGCCTCCAGGGTATCTGGGAATACAGGTGCACATCACCACGCCCAGCTAATTTTTTGTATTTTTTGTAGAGACAGGGTTTCATCGTGTTGCCCAAGCTGGTCTCAAACTCCTGGGCTTAAGGTATCCACCCATCTTGGCCTCCAAAAGGGCTGGTATTACAGGCATGAGCCACCATTCCCAGCCAAATTGCTCCACTTTTAATGGAAAGGTGAGGTACTTGCAAAAATTGGAGAAAGTTCATTGTCACCTCTTTGATTTTTTTTTTTCTTATGGAAGCAAAGGATACGCTAAAGAAGGAAAGGATATGCTAAATTTTTTTCTTTAGATTTTTGCAACATTGAAACCAAGAACTAGTGTGAGCAATTGCTTTCTTTAAAATAATACATTCTCATTTAACATATATAAGTTCATCATATATTTACTTGTTTATTCCACATTTTGTTTTACTCCATAATTACTTACGAAAATTTTTTCATGCTAACTCAAGCAGAGATCTGATCTTTTTTAAAAAAGACATTTGGCTTGAGACATTTATAAAGTATCATTATGCTGTCTGTAAAGTTGGTGCAATGGAAAAAAAAACAAACAAAAACTATTTCCTAATGACATTAGGTGACTAAAGGAGTTCCCTTAATCCCTTTTTCTCAAATTGTGTCTGGAAGTAAGACATTAGAAAATAATATTAATTAGACTTTTAAAAAATACATTGGCTAACCCACCCAAATAAAAAGTTATAACTTGGAATACCAGCACTGTTAAGACAAGTACAAAAGAGCTAGGAAGTTCTAAATAGGAAAATCACTACTGAAAAAGAAAATTTAATTTAAAACTGTTTGATTACTACATGCTTCCACAAATAAGAGCCAGGACAATGCAGTATCAAAGACACAGAGACCATAAAAACTGACCAAAGACACAAATAAATCAATACCTGCTTTAGTTTTCTATTTGCAAGAAAACAAAATCACTCTGCTCAAATTATAGCGTTAATTCATTCTATTGGAAACTAGCAATTCACAAATTTTGCTTTTGTTGTTATTTTGTTTTTGTTTTCTTATTTTTTCCCAAGTGTCATGTTTCAAAATTGAGAAAAAATCTCTACCAGTTTAATTTCCTGAAAATATTAATTTGTACAGTGAAATCAGGGTCACTTATAACAGTAACCTCCGTGAATGATCACATCGTAAAACAATTGTAGTCTGTATATTTAAGAAAATGTTGTCATTGGTAAATGTTTTTCCACATGGGCTAAATTATCTACGTAATCAGCCACCCTGGTGGGAAAGCGAATCTTTCAGCTCCAATTCAATGCGAGGGCGAGTTGTTATCTTTCTGATTGATGGTGATTAGGCTCTTGGAGCAAATCTGGCTTACATGCTTCTGAACGCCAAATGGCTGAAGGCCACCTCTCTCTACCCCCTTGGCTGGCAGTTATCTTTGGATGACTTGGAAGAAGCCACAGTTCCCGCAGCGTGATTCTGGTTCAATGGCTCAAACTGGCCATTTTCTTCTGTTTAGATCATCACCCCTACTCAGGCACTACCTGTTGGTGGCCATAGAATGGTAAATTCAAAAGAGAATAGACACATCATAATTGCCTCTTTCTTGCCCTCATATATGGATGACAGAAAATACTCTTATTGTAAGAATATTTTCTTTCTCAAAAATGAAAAGCTATTAAAAATAATGGAGCAGCTACAACCTACATATTTATAAAACATATGAAATAAAATCTCTGGCTGTTGTCTTCAATAATTACATAAAAGACGAAGCCAATATTTACATTTAAAAGAAGAGTCTGTATGCTTACCAATGAAGCACTGGTTATATTCTTATCTTGACAGATGGTCCATTTTTGATCATTTATGTTAAGCACTAAGTCAAATTAGCCCCAAAAAAGTTGTGTGTGTTTTTTAAATTCCATGCAAATATAGCCAAGAGGTATCATTATTTACTTCACATCAATAACTCAGGATAGTCAATTTTTAAAAAATACGGATTAAAATTTTAAGTAATCCTAGAATTCTGGAATAATTGAAATAAGATTTTCTATATGTATGATTAAGGAATAATTTTCTCCCACATCTTTTCTTAAAGTAAAAATATTCTCAATTACTATACATGTGGGTTAATCATATGGGTATTTGGGAATAACTCAGTGGGGTAACATGCATAAGTGACAGGCACACATCATGTCTCAAGTCTTTAGCTCCTCAAGTTGTCTGTGGATAATGACATGGTTTTTAACGCTTGAGAATTCTTTTTTTAATCAGGTGCTACAAAAGATAATAATTCTCTTATTAGTTTTCCTATTTTGTAAATGTCAGTCATGACAATCTTGAGCAAGCACTTTGGTTTTATCATCACACTCTGCTCTGCTACCTCATTAATGCATCAAGAATATATTCAGAATCACCTTCCATCCCCATTCTTGATTTCATGGGAGGTGAGGATGCTAATCGTATCTGTACAGGTGTATTTTTATAGAGCTGCCAGAAAAATCGTACTGTTCATTCAAGAACATCATCTGTCTATAATTAATGTTCTGTCTTCTTAAAAATAAGAAACTACTATCTACCTAATATCCCAAATTTCTTCCAGCAATGAATCCCTAAGCATCTATTAAAGCTCAGATCTTTCTGAAAGATCTTTTTTTATATCTATAATGAGCATTTTTTTTTGTTTGTTTGTTTCGGGTTTGTTTTGTTTTGTTTTGCTGATCATTATTGTTCATTTGCTAAAGCTTCTGGTCTCCTGCTCTCTACTCTCTCTCTCTCTCTGTTTTACATTGGCCAATTGGTTCAGATTTCATATTTACATCTTGTATGTGCTGATTTTTAAACATTTTTATCTTCTTTATTCTTTCCAAATGATCAGGTATGATAAAAATTAACAAAATAAATCTGCTTTCACAACAAAATATCTATAGTTATATGAAATCCAATTTACGCATTATAAATTCTTAAGCAATCAAATTTCTGTTTATGATTATACACACAGTATGAATGAGAATTTGGAAATCAATGTTAATAATATAATATGAGATCAGGAACTCCTTAAAATTAGGTACTATATATTACATCACTGTGAGATTTTTATATCTAGATTCTAATACTAAGATTTCCAATACATAATTTTGAAGGTGGAAATGGACCTGCCTAGAAATATTCCTGAGACAGGAACATTCCCTTCGGAATGTGGCTACTGTTTTCTCAGGACTTTTACCTATAAAGATGCTTACATCTGTTTGTGTCATTAAATTTTTGTTTTGTTTTGTTTCATTTTCTGGTAAAAACAAACAAATGATAAATGTGGCTATGATCTGCTTGAACAATGTTCTGTCTACCTGATCATACCAACAGAATTGTCTTCTGGGTCATGTCATCCTGTTCCATCATAGAAGAAGAAATGTGGGGGTGGTGTTCCCCAAAATAAACAGTAGCATTTGAATCAAACCCAGCTATTTACCCTACTCTGTGTCACTACAGATACATTTTCAAAGCACTTCTCAGAAATCAGTATATCTTAGGACATCATGCTCTTTTCTATAAATTCTGATGCCAAAATGGAAGAGCTACAGGGTTGCAGGCATATTTGGGAGCAGATGGTAATACCTACTGCTGTGTCCAAATAGGCTGGTAGGCATATTTATCTGATATGTTTTTGAATTATGGTAAGAAGCCAACTATCTCTCTTTATTCACTACCCAGGAACACATGCTTTCAAGTAAAGATACCCCATTCTGTAGAGCCTGCTTGCCAGTTAAAAATAAATAAATAATCTACTTTCTGAATTTTTATATTCTTTTAATTATAATCATCACAAAAAGAGGATATTTTGTATGACTCTTTTAATGTTTTCTTTTAGAAGTATTTCTTTAAAGCACTTTTATATAAATAAGACCATTGCATATTAACGTCACACACTAATTGGAACAGATTTTCCCCTGAGTTGCTTAAAATATAGACTTTTCAAATCTGCAGTGCTTCCTCACCCTTCAGTGTAGCTCTCTCCAACTCTAATTAATTCACATTGCAAAAGCAATGAGTTTGATCTCAGCTGTAGATGTCACAGTGACTTATCCTTTCAATGAGGTGATAATTGGTGTCTGGTTAATTCTATTCATAGAAACCATGGGCCATAAAAAAGTAATCCTCACTTCCATTACACAGCGTGACGCTTTCAGTAACACCTATGTAGTTTCCTAGTATGGAATATTTTTATTCTTAAAAACATAATTACAATTGTAGAAATGCATCCTATAAGCAAATATCTGCTACCTGCCCGGTAGTAACTCAAGTAGATATTGTTCTCCTACTTTGCACATAGTTATATGGGCTTTGACACTGAAGAAGATGATGTTACTTACCTCCAAAACCTGCAACACACCCAGGCAGGCATAAAAAGTATCGCCTTGTAAAATAATCTCTAAATCCTAAGACTGATACAGTCCACAGACACTTATTCAAGACAAACATGATTAGCAATACACAAGGCAGTTTCGTATATTCCATTTTTAGTGTGTAATATTTTGACACATGTGAGAGACACATTCTCTCTGTATATATTTATAGATAATGAGACAAATAAGAAAATGAATAATTATGAACCAGCACCCAACTGAAGAACTAGAATATCACCAACATAGTTTTAATCTACGTGGATTGCTTTTTACCTCTCCCATCACCTGTTGCTAATAAATGTGTACATGGCCTGCTCTGTGTTTACCACTGTATTGTCTTTTTAAAGGTTTTATCACATTTGTAAACATATGCACAATTTTATTTTCATTTTTATAAAATTCTTATCAAAATGTCATTGTACTCACTTGCTTTTTCCAATCAATATTGTGTTTCCAAGAATTACCCATTCAATTTTATCAGACCACATTTTTTCTTTTTCACTGTCACCTAAATACTCAGTAATGTGACTATACCACAATGTCTGTATTCATTTCTTTATCTAGAGATATCACAGTTGTTTTCAGAATTTTACAAATATAGACAATACCACTGTGAATATGTTCATGTAATTCTCCTGGTGAACATGTGTAAGAGTCTCTCTAGGAATAGAATTTCTGCCTTGTATTACATACAAATGATGAATTTTACAAAATATACCTAATTTTTCCCCAAAATGTTGTATCCATTTGTATTTTCTCCAATAGCGTGTAAGATCCACATAGTTGCCAAGAGTTTATGTAAGTCGATGGGTACATGATAAACATACTTGTAATGATTATTCTTTTCATCGTTAGTAACTTTGCAGATTATATTACAGACACTCAAATTGTAATAATAATAAATGTAAATAATAACTAAAAAGAAATAACAGGCCAGGCATGGTGGCTCATGCCTATAATCCCAGCACTTTGGGAGGCTGAGGCTGGTGGATCATTTGAGGTCAGGAGTTCGACACCAGACTGGCCAACATGGTGAAACCCTGTCTCTACTAAAAATTAGCCAGGTGTGGTGGTGCATGCCTGTAGTCCCAGCTACTTGGAAGGCTGAGGCAGGAGAATCACTTGAACCCAGTAGACGGAGGCTGCAGTGAGCCAACAGCACACCACTGCACTTCAGCCCGGGAAACAACAACAACAAAAATGATACTGAAAATAATAAATCTATTTATGGACAAAAGAATAGGAGTCAAAAATAGGAGGCAAGAGAGCACACTGGAATTTGGGGAAAAAGAAAGAAAGGCAATTTTTGGAGCAAGAATCATCATTAATGTGTGTGATTTGAGGTGATACATGGTTAATGAACATTTGCTAATTTTTTATAATTACACAAAATCCATATAAATATATTTACTTTGATTATATATAAATATATTAATATTGTTAAAAAATTAAAACACTTCTAATAAACAAAATCCCTTGACCACTGAGTTATCACATCCCAATTCCAGGTCCCTCTCTGGATCTTTTATGATGGTCAGCAAGCATGCCTGCCAGACGAGCCAAAGGGAAACATCTTTATTGTATTGGATAGTACACAAACCCAATGTTTACTCCTTAGGAAAACACCATCTCTATCTTTCAAGGCTCTTCACTATACAAGCATCCGTGAAAAATAGTTCGTAACAAAGACAGGTCTTCTGCTCACAAGATCTGTAGAAACATGAGACCCATAGAGAATTGTCTCCCAACAATTTCCTTCAGAGAGGATTTGCACTTGATTGCATCAAGAGCCATGGTATCCTAGCACTTTGGGAGGCCGAGGCGGGCAGATCACGAGGTCAAGAGATTGAGACCATCCTGGCTGACACGGTGAAACCCTGTCTCTACTAAAAATACAAAAAAAATTAGCCTGGCATGGTGGCAGGTGCCTGTAGTCCCAGCTGCTTGGGAGGCTGAGGAAGGAGAATGGCTTGAATCCGGGCGGCAGAGCTTGCAGTGAGCTGAGATTGCGCCACTGCATTCCAGCCTGGGTGACAGAGCGAGACTCCATCTCAAAAGAAAAAGAAAAAAAAAAAAAGAGCCATGGTGTGCTACTAACCTGTGGCCTCTTTAAACCCTTCCTCCAGTCCTTAGCTTAATTCATGAGTATGAGGTTTAGTACCCCAAAAACCTTTGCTTTAGGCCCCAACCAGAATCTCCTCATTATAGTGCTGATACTGCATTTGTTTTCAGGACAGATTTTCTCAAGTCCTTCGCCCACATGCAGGGATCAAGAAAACATAATGCCTGCTATGCTTGCAAATCAGAAGAGTATGCCTCTTATGCCTAGGAATCAGCCCCTGCTGAGATCCAGCTAACTGTTGCCCTGCTTGTATGCAAACCAAATGTTGCCTTATATTCTGATGTTTCAAGAGAAGAGTGAAATGTGTATTTTGATGATAAAACACCTGAATTTCAAGTGTTGCTGTTTAGTTCAAGCTGATTAATAATATTTTCAGAAATATGAAATGCAACACAAAACTTAGGGGGTAGGGGAGATAAAAGCAGTGACTTCAGCATTTGGGAGGTCCTTGGTGACCTCACTCATCAAAGTGTACCTCAGATATCATCTTACAGTGAAGGCATCCCTGACATGCAGTCCTACATGCCAATTATGGCCTCATTCATGAAGCCTCCATAGCATTATATAAACCTCATTTACTTTAGCACAACACATAATCATAATACTTTTTTGCTAATTTAATTGAAATGTGTTTACTGTTCTAAAGGCAATTAGACTGAAACTATTGTGATTAATCTGTATCTATATCATCTGGGTAAAGGATATATGAGTATTATTTGTTCTATTCTGATAATCTCTATGTAACCTTGAAATTATGACAAAATATTTTTAAAAAAAAGAAATCATCTATATCTTCACCTGGAAAATATAATCTATATCTTATATAGTTTTCTACAGGTTAACATCTAATTGTAAAAAGAGTCATGGAACACAAAAATGTCTAATCAGTATACAAATTAATGCTTGGAAATAATTTTCAGTGCTGGAGTTTAACCAAAATGTCGCATTCCATTCGTGAGATTGACAATTGTTTCTTGGGGACTTTTGTTTGTTTGCTTTGATAAATTGTATTGCGTATATTTAAGGTCTACAACATGATGTTATGGGATACTTATAGATAGTAAAAAGATTACTATATTGAAGCAAATTAACATATCCAGCAACTCACAGTTATCCATTTTGTGGCAACGGTGGCTAAAATCTACTCATTTGGCATGAATCTCATGTCAAATACAATTTTATTACCTATAGTCCTCATGTTGCACATGAAATCTCTAGACTTGGTCATCCTACATATCTGCTACTTTGTATCCTTTGACCTACATCTCCCCATTTCCTGTTGTTCTCTAGCTCTGTGTATTTGAAATGCATTATTTTTGTTCCATGTATAGGTAGAATAACGCAATATTTTCTTTCTGAGTCTGGCTTATTTCACTTAGCCTAATATCCTCCAAGGTTATCTTTGTTATGGCAAATGGCAAGATCTCGTTCTTTTGTGGGACTGAATAATATTCCATTGTATATATGTACCACAGGGGTTTTTAATCCATTTGTTCATCAATGGACAGGTTGTTTCCATATCTTGGCTATTGAGAACAATACTGCAAGGAACATGGGAATGAAAATATCTTAACAAAGTGATGATTTATTTCCTTTGGGTATATGCTCAGAAGAGGGATTACTGAGTCATATGGTAGTTCTATTTTTAATTTATTTTGAAACCTCCATACTGTTTTCCATAATGGTTCTCCCAATCTACATTCCTACATGAGTGTATTAAAGACTGTCCAAACCAGGTGTGGTGGCTCGTCTATAATTCCAACACTTTGGGTGACTGAGGCAGGAGGATTACTTGAGGCCAAGAGTTGGAGACAAGTCCCAGGAGACTTCCTAAGGCCCTGCCTGTCAACAGATATATATTTTTAATATACTACAAATGTGTTGATTCCACAGCTCAATCTGGAGAAAATTGACATTGAAACAACTGAAATACATTTGATTTTTGTATGTTGACTTTGTATTCTGCAACCCTAGTTCAAATAGCCTTTTTATAGATTTCTTCAGATTTTCTATGTAGACAGTCATATTGGCTGTGAATAAAGGTCATTTTATTTTTTTCTTTCTATTTATATGCCTTTTATTATAGTTGTTGTGCTGTTGTTATACAAGCTAAGACTTGCAGTATGTTGGGTGGGAGTGGTGAAAATAGACCTCTTGCCTTGTTCCTGATTTTAGGAAGAAAATCTTCCGTTTTTAAACATTAAGTGTGAAATTAGCTATAGGGTTTTTTTAATATATATAATTACCACCTATTAGCAAGCATGTTTTTTAATGCCTATCTTGCTGCAAGTTTTTACCATGAATGGATGTTGATATCAGTTGTTGGTTGATTTTTCAAATGTTGGGCTAGACATTCTTGAGATAATCTCCATTTGGTCATGAAGTATTATCACTTTTGTCTATTTGCTAGATTTGATTTGCTATTAGGTTTTTGAGAATTTGTGCATCTATGATCATGAAGGACACTGGTTTAAAGATTTATTTTCCTGTGATGTCTTTGCCTGATTTGGGTGTCGGGATAATGCTAGCCTCGTAAAGTTTTCCCTCCTCTTCTGCTTTTTGTAATAGTTTGTATGGAAATTGTATGTTGTTGTTGTCGTTGTTTGTTGTTGTTAAATATTTTATGAAATTTATTAGGGAAGCCATCTGGGCCTAAAGTTTTCTTTCTTTATTTTAGTTTTTTATTCCAATAGTTTTTGGTGTACAGGTGGTTTTTTGTTACATGGATAAGTTCTTCCATTGTGATTTCTGAGATTTTGGTGCACTTGTCACCTGAGCAGTGTACACTGTACCCACTATGTAGTGTTTGATCCTTCAGTCCCTCCCAACTTTCCCCCAACCGTAAGTCCCCAAAGTCTGTTATATCATTCTTATGCCTTTGTGTCCTCCTAGCTTAGCTCCCACTTATAAGTGGGAACATACGATTTTTGGTTTTCCTTTCCTGAATTATTTCACTTAGA
This sequence comes from Homo sapiens, assembly GCF_000001405.40. Taxonomy (NCBI): domain Eukaryota; kingdom Metazoa; phylum Chordata; class Mammalia; order Primates; family Hominidae; genus Homo; species Homo sapiens. Next base: position 115,542 of record NW_013171804.1, on the reverse strand, counting down.
ATAATCATCTCCAGCTCCATCCAAGCTGCTGCAAAATACACTATTTGGTTCCTTTTTATGGCTGAGTGGCAATCGATGTCTTATATATATTATTTATCCACTCATTGGTTGATGGACACTTAGGTTGGTTCCAAACCTTTGCAATTGAGAGTTGTGGCTGCTATAAATATGCGTGTGCATGTGTCTTTCTCACGTAATGACTTTCTAACGTTTTCTTTGCTTGAAGACTTCAACTTCAAATTCAATTCATTTAATTAATGTAGGACTATTCAGGTGACCATTTCCACTTGAGTGAGCATTGGTACTTTGTTTCTTAAAAAGAATTATTCCATTTCATTTAAGTTGTTGAACTTATGTATGTTAATAAAGTTGAGCTTAATATTCTCTTATTACATTTTTAATATCTGTATTGAGGTCCTATATCCCTTTTCATTCTTGATGTTGTGCCTTTTTTTTTCTTTCTACTTGGTCACTCTGGCTAGAAGTTTATCAATTTTACTGATCTTTTTATAGAACTGTTTTTTGTTTCATTGCCTTCTGTATTGTATTTCTGTTTTTCATATTATTTATGTCCGCTCTTTATTTTCTTCCTTCTGCTTGCTCTTCCCTTTCTAGTTTCTTAAATAGAAGGCTAGATCATTAACTTGAGAACTTTTTCCTTTTCTAATAGAAGCAGTTAATGCTATAAATTTTCCTCTATATGCCTGTTTAGCTACATCCGCCCCCCCGCCCAAATTTTAACAGGTTGTGTTTTTAATTTTATAAAATTAAAAATGCTTATAATTTCCCATGTGACTTGCCTTTTTACCCATGAATTACTTAGAAAGTTCTGTGTTATTTAATTTCCAGATATTGGGGAATTTTCTAGATTGTTTATTACTAATTTCTGCTTGAATATGTTATAACCAGAAAACATTATTTACATAATTTTAATTCTCTTAAATTTTGTAAGACTTGTTTTATGGCCTGGAATATGGTTTATCATGGTGAATATTTCTTGGGCATTTGAATAAACTATGTAGTCTGCCGTTATTGGATAGAGGGTTCTATCAATACTAATTACATCAAGTTGACTACTAGTGTTATTCGTATTTCCTGTGTCATTACTGATTTTCAGTTTAATTGTTTTATCAATTGCTGAGCAAAGAATTTTGAAGCCTCTAACTATAATTATGGATTTGCTTAATTCTCCTTTTAGTTCTATTAGTTTGTGTTTCTAGTATTTGGAAGTTCCGTTGTTAGATGTATATATATTTAAGATTGTTATGTGTTCTAGGTTGATTAGCCCATTTATCACTATGCAATGTCCCTCCATATCCCTGTTCTGAAGCCTACTTTATTTTAGTATAGCCGTTTCTGCTTTTTTTGATTGGTGTTTGCATTTTCTTTCGTACTGCATTAGTTTCTTTTGTACTTTTCATTTGAACCTAGCTATGTCCATGTATTTACAGCAGGTTTCTTGTCAATAGCATATAATAGAGTATTGGGTTTTTTTAAGTAAAATCTGAAAATTTCTGTATTTTAATTTGTGTGTTTAGAACATTTACACATGATGAAATTATTGGTATGGTTGATGATCATAATTTTTTATTTGTCTTTCTAAATTTCTACACTATTAATCATCTTTATATTTAAAGCACATTGCACATAACATGAACACAATAGATGTTTATTAAGTTTGTATATCTTAAATGATAGTGGTTTCAGATCCATTGTCTATTTCAGTCAACTGTGGATTTGTCCTAAATAGACAAATTTTCAAGTCATATTTTCAAGTCATAACTTTTTCATGTGTTATAAGTGAATAGAATAACTTTTCAAGTCATAACTTTTTCATATGTTATAAGTGAATAGAATAACTATTACACTTAATTTGTAAATCACATCTTATTTATTCACTTTATGAATACACTTCCCTTGTCCATGAAGCATAAGAGTAATATAGTAGCTGTTCCTCAATCTGTGAATATTCAATTATTTACCATTAATATGTTTACTGCATGTGATATTTATAACAATAATAATATGAATCAGTTGAAGAAGAAATGAAAACAGCATACCTTTATAAATACCTTGGTATAGAAATCAGTACCAGGATACAGTCATGAATGAAGAATCACCTATTCAATATCTGTGTCTACTTTAGTTTCCAGTAGTATTATCTGTAGAGAACTTTGCCCTATAATAGACAATATGTTTAACATTTGAAAATGGTGCATTATTTCTAAGAAGAGAACATGAAAATGAGTTAACAGTAGCATGTTGGTAACAATAGTGAGCCTAGTGTTTTATTACCATCCAGTACATTATAAACCTTCACCATGTCAAATGAAAGTTTAAGAGTGAATCTTCTAAAGTGGCATGACTTTCTCTCTGGAGAAGAACCCCAAAGATAAACTGAGAGAAAAGAAAATGGCAGAGACACTTAAAAACCATTGTCTAATCCTGGCAGATAGAAGGTGACATTAGTGAGATAAGAATTTTTTGTTAATTAGGTTTTCAAAGGTCTTATTCCCACACTCAACACAAAACCCAATTGAGTTTTAAGCATGATGGTAATAGTACCTAGATGAAACCTGAGAGTAAACAGTATCCCATTTGCCCCAACCTGAAAGTTCAATTCTTCAATGGAGTACAGACTTTACTATATTGGCTGGTTCTGTTAGGTTTTGTTTAGTTTCCTTGTGATTGGGAATTTTAGCAAATATAGTACTTGTTACAGGCAGATATATGTCCAAGTCATTCTCTGTGACTGTTCACTTACTTCTCATTCCACAAATACTTACTGAGTGTGTTAGGCACTGTCCAAAGTGCTGAATAGGCTTATTACTATGAAAAGGAGTTTTAAGAGTTGATACTGGAAATGGGGACTATTACTAATTGCTGTAGGACAAATGTCCATATTGAAGCTACCTAGAATTCCTATAAGCCTACTGAAGTCTTGGGAAACAATCTGCAAGACTAACAAGGTATTTTTTAAAGGAATAAAACTTTAGTAAGAACCAGAGTCATAAGGTGATTGGAGATTTACAGAAATGTACAGTTCCAGAAAAATACGCAGCTATTTAAAGAAATTTTTTTTTTAAAGTACAATTTCCATTTTATTTTTCTCCAGAGAATAGCCTGTCTTCAGTCTTTAAGAACTCAGCTCCTTACATGGGCTTTGGTGGGGGACGTGGGGCAGCACCCGCAGGTCTAAATCGGGGTGGGGGTGTTCGGTCCTTGCGGACTTCACGAGATCGATTCCTGACTACTTTGCTGTGAATTGCACAACTCACACAGTAATGTAGCTTCACATACAGCTTGGGAAGCACATAGGCATCGAAGACGCTCGCTTCAGAAATGTCCCTGACTGCTGCGGCCTCCACTATGTTTCGAATGACGAATTTCTTAATGGCCTTGTCCTTGGGCATGCATCGGGCACAGTTAGTGCAGCGAATAGGCTGCACGTGGCCGCAGCCCTTTTTGGCACGACCATTGTTCCTTCTTTTCTTTGTCATCTTGGAGGCACGGACCGGAGACAGCTATTTAAAGAAATTTTTAACCTGTCATCATTGTCAATGGAATAAGATATCATTGAGATGTCATTAAGAGTTATTTGAAGAATGCAGCAACTCAGCTAAAGAGGATGCAACTTGAAATCACTGATGTTTTGAGTAAGGACATTGTCTTTGTTCAAGAGTCATCATTAGTTTTACCTCACTTAGGAAGATGAAAATGTTTTTTAAGTTTGTATGAAAGTGCCAGGCTGCCAACTATTATTGTTATCTGAAGCTTCTGCCCTTCATCCAAAAATAGGCTTATAAAAATTGCAATAATGGCCACTGAAGACCTAATAACGCTGACATATTCACTACTCAATCTGTGGAAATACTAGAATGATTATAAATATATAATATCTAACAAGCCATTACCCATGTGGTACAATCTCAGAATGATGTTCTGATTAAAGACACACAGCTCACAATAAAAAGCAATTCAATAATCTTCAACCATCAAAAAATAATAAATCCTGTCATTTGCACCAATATAGATGGAACTGGAGGTCATTATGTTAATTGAAATAAGCCAGGCATAGACAGACAAATATTGCGTGTTCTCACTTATATGTGGGGGCTAAAAAAGTGTACCTTATAGAGGTAGAGAATAGAATGATTGCTACCAGAGGCTGAGAAGGGTATGGAGGGCCAGGGAGATGAAGAGAGGTAGGTTAATGGGTACAAACATACAACATAGGAATTCCAGTGTTCAATAGCACAGTAAGGTGACTGTAGTTAACAACAATATATTGTATATTTCAAAATAGCTAGAAGGGAATATTTAAAATGTTCCCAATGCAAAGGAATAAATGTTCAATGTGATGAATATCATAAATACCTGAATTTGATCATTACACATGTATGCATGTATCAAAATATCACATATACCCCATAAATATGGACAAACATTATGTATCAATAAAAAATAAAAACTGGAAAAGATTTCAAAATAAACTTGTCTCTTTTCATTTTTCAAACACAGTGAAAGGAGTAAATATGGCAGAGCATTACTACTTTTTTTACCTTCTGCTTTCCCCACATATTATAGGTGTTTCCTTATTTCTTACTTTGGAAACCTTCACAAAACTATTTTCCCCAGCCCTGACAAGTATGTTGACATTACCCTTCTACACCAACCCTTCGTTCTTACTCTGCATTATAAAATCTCAAAATCAACAGTCAGGAAAAATTGGAGAGGAGAACCTAAATAGGCAAGCAGGATTTTATTTAGAAGAAATAGAGGAAAGTTTAGGAACCTTAATAGAATAGTGATAGTTTTGCTACATGGAATCAATTTGTAGGCCCTTGCATACTATGAGTTAGTAGAGTCATAAAGAAGCTTCATGGAGCATTTATTCTAACTCATGAATGAAAAACTTTGGTCAGAAAGGTTAAATGGCCTGCCGCAGATCAAATATTAATATTCGTACTGAATCTGGGGAGCAATTGTCCCAGCTACATACTCATTATTTGAGCACTGTGCCCATAGTAGCAGTCAGCAAACTGTAGACCTTGGATCAAATCTGGCCCACTGCCTGTTTTTGCCAATAAAGTATTATTAGGACACACTTATTTCTTTACCTATTATTTGTGACTATGGCTCATAAGGCCTAAAATATTTATTCTCTAAACATTTACAGAAAGCCCTTTTAAAAGTAAGATAGCTGTCAACTGTGTCAAGTCCTTCAACACAAGAATATCTTACATATGCCACCCCACTCAACACACACACACACTTAAACACAGCCACATTAAAGGGTTTTGTTGACTTTTTTAGCAAGTCACAAATTATTTGAGAAAGACCTTCTTTTTACTAGGGGGTAAAAATAGGAGTAATGTTGAGTGAAAAACCCTTGTGTTCCCTTCAAAATAGCTCATATTTATTGAGTGCTTATCATTGTTCTGGCACAGTCCTAGGTGTTTTACAATATTTACTCATTTAATACAGAAAATCTATAATTACCTATTATAACACATTGAGGAAACAGAGACTACAGACATTAAGTAACTTGCTAAACTATAGCTATGAAGTGACAGGGTCAAGTTTCAAATCCAGACACTGACTCCAGAGCTCACAGGCATAAGTTCTTTCAGAGCCTCCACAAATACTAAGAAAACCTTTGTCTTCTGCAATCTCAGCAAGCTAGGCAAGGCTCTATTTGAATATCCAGGGCTAATATGGAGTACTCTGTGTTAATATTTGTAAAGTATGAAGGTCCTTTGAGACCATCTACTGCAAGCCAGACTTCTTTTTTTTTTTTTTTTTTTTTTTTTTTTCTGAGACTAAGTCTCACTCTGTCGCCCAGGCTGGAGTGCAGTGGCACAATCTCAGCTCACTGCAACCCCGACCTCCTGGGTTCAAACAAATCTCATGCCTCATCCTCCCGAGTAGCTGGGATTATAGGTGCCTGCCACCATGCCCAGCTAATTTTTATATTTTTTGTAGAGACAGGGTTTCACCATGTTGGTCAGGCTAGTCTCAACCTCAGGTGATCCAGCTGCCTCGGCCTCCCAAAGTGCTGGGACCACAGGCGTGAGCCACCGCACCCGGCCCAGATTTCATTTTATTAGTTCAAGATTGTCCCTTCCTTAACAGCTTTTAAAATTTAGAAGAACTTTCTTTTCTGGCAGGTTCAAGGGAAGAATGAGGACACAAGAATCAAAAGTTTAGGGCTCTGGCCGGGTGCAGTGGCTCACGCCTGTAATCCTAGCACTTTGGAAGGCTGAGGCGAGCAGATCACTTCAGGTCAGGAGTTCAAGACCAGCCTGGACAACTTGGTGAAACCCCGTGTCTACTAAAAATACAAAAATCAGCCAGGCATGGTGGTGCACGCTTGTAATTCCAGCTACTCAGGAGGCTGGGGCAAGAGAATCTCTTGAACCTGGAAGGTGGAGGTTTCAGTGAGCTAATGCCACTGCACTCTAGCCTAGGCAACAGAGTGAGACTCTGTCTCAAAAAAAAAAAAAAAAAAAAAAAAAAGAGTTTAGGGCTCTGGTGGAAAATAAGATTATTATGTTCTATTTGACATCAAGCGATTGTGTTGAGTGAAGAGCAGGCATATTGTGAAAATGAAAGGAATGTGGATTTTAAAGCCAGAAAATAATGACTTTGAATTTAAAATTTAACTTTGGAAAAATTACTACAAGCTCCCTGAGCCTTGACTTTCTTATTTTGGTAGTTTGGGATATTCACTTCCCCATGTTTTCCATAAGGTTAAGTGAGATTATGTATGTGATGAACTCTAGCACAATGTAAGTAACTTATCTGGCACTCAGAATTCTCTGTATTTTCCTTGAAATCACTTCTCTGTATGTTTCTCATATTTCAATCCTGGTTCTTAGTTCTTTTTCCTCCTTGAAATGCCACCTACATTTCTTTATGGAAGGACAATGCCTCTTCAGTATGCAGGAGTACAGTGGCTGCCTTCCGGACCTTCTCACAGTTTTTCTCATTCTTGAACTTATCGGTAAACCACTGAAAAATGGTCACACATGGGTAATAGGTATAATTATAATTTTATTATTTGTGATTTATCTTCTCTATTACATTCATCTATGCACATTCTATTTCTGACTATGAAAACACCAACTCTTCAGGGCCAAGGACCAAATCTCTGCTTTGGTAACTGGGGAAATCTGTAGATGTTTCACACGTTTATAGTAATAAAATATTTTAGAGGACTCACTAAGTTTACCTTAAGTAATGTTGGAAAAACAACAGAGAGAAAAATCCAAGAGAGAAAAAAAAGCCAACTCAGAGACAATGGAAATCAGTGTTTTCTGTGTGTGTATTTGCTTTTCTAGGAGCAAGAATTAGAGCTCTGACATAATTAGGAAAATTCAGCTTGTGTGTGTCACTCTGTATATCACTTCAGCCATGATGACTGTTTTTCATTATTTCTCTTTTCTTCTCTTCCCCATGGCATCTGTTTCTTTGGCTTTTGCTATTGTATGGTACCTACACACTATCATTCCTTTGTATCTCTTAGTTTCAGCTTGCTATGGTCAACTTTTTTGTTTCACTGGCCCAATTCCCCAGAAGTCTGTGACTCACCTAACCAGTCATCTTTGTTCACATTTTAAAAAAGCATTTGCCCAAGCCACACCAGATGCTTTTATCCAGCCCAAATATTATCCTCTTAAAATAGATGTCCATTGTTAGTCACTTCAGCTGGGACCAAGGGAATGGCATCCTGATGTACAGAATTCAGCCACCTATATTTCCTAGGAACAATTTAAGCCCACTTTCCACAGCTGCAGGGAGGGGTGAGGACAAGATGGTTGTGGCTAAATGATTGAAAAGGCAGCCAAGAATTGAGAATCCAATCTAGGGCTTATAATGGTTTATAAAGGTGATAATAATCCAATGTGGGAAACAAGCAAATCAGTATATAAAGGGTGATGTGAGACAGAAATCAGTCTTTAGGCTCCTAGCCTTCTTAAGAGGGACAGCTTTTCTCTTCATTTCCCCCAGTAACTGTCCCAAAGTGTGGCATGACACAATAGGCTGCCCATAATGAACAGCATGCGTTCTAGATTAAACCAAACATCTCCATATCAAAACTAAAACTACTATGCTTCTCACTCTCAGTGAATTAGTCTCAATGAATAGTACCAGTCAGAAGGAGGTTCAGTATTCTATACCCATAGATTTAGAATATTTTCAAAAGTCATCTTTAGTGAAAAATGTATAGAGGTCACACTTCAATTCGATTTGGTGCCGTTCTGGAAGTGATCCTTACTTAAAAAGAAAATTGAAGTCCAAGTTATGTGAGTTAGTTAATCATTAACAGAATCACCTTGAAAATTTATTTACTTTCCTATATATCAGTAAATTATATGTGTAAGTTGCATATGTATTCACTTTTGTAAGGCTAGCCCAAAATGTTTTCACTGGTGGAGAAAGCAAAACCACAAGCATCTGCTAAAAAGTGAGCAGCTTAGGGTTGGACACAAGTAACTGATAATCCTTCCTGGGGACAATTTCAGCCTGAGCGGAAGACTTCTCTAGATTCGAGAGGCTTAAATTAATATAGAGCTTGGAAAGGTCTGGTAGTACACAATATATAAAACATTTAAAACATTTGGACTTTATATCTTATGGCAATGTGAAAGGAAAGAGATGCATTTGACCCTGTATATGGCAATGAGGTGGCAAACCGACAATTAAGCAGAAAAATCTGAAGGCCAAATGTCAAAAAAAAAAAGAGCATTAACCCTGAGTAGTGACATTTTAAAAATGTCCTTGGCTCACAATGAAGTATAAGTGCTAATGTGACCATTTATTTGTCTATTTATAAGAGGGAAAAAAAGCCCTGAGTTTCTAAACTGTTTGGAAATGGATCTTATTCTTCCTGAAAAATAATAAGGCGCTGTTATTTTCACCCTAAGGGTCAAAAATAGGAAGAAATGTCCATTAGTACCCGTCAAAGCTTACATATGCACTATTCGCATCTTGAAAGAAGAATTTGCATGCTGTAGATTTTCCTTGGCAAAAACCAACATTTTCTCTGAGAGAGAAGGAAGTAATTATTATAAAATGTTCACACTTAATGGTAAAAGTAGAATATTTATTCTAGGAATCCTAAATAGGTAGTTATAAAATAATTAAAAGGTGATATGTTCTTGTGTCTATCTTTCTTTTCAGTCTTGATCTTTTTATCACAATGCCATTAAAATGACAGAAAGAGAAAGTCACTTTAAGTGTTGACCAAAAAAATCACTAAATATATATTTATCAGGCTTGTGAGCAGCCACAAAAATTGTTTTGTAATGAAATAATGATAAAATTACAGAATCATACATTATAATCAATATCTCCTTTTGTGCTTAACTATACAGTAGCAAAGATAGAAGTTTTAAAGGAATATTTTCAGGGAAAAATAATCTTTCCCTGTCTGTGCTAAAAATGGTTGATGAAAAGTTTTCTTCATTTTATAGTCTTAAAAATACATATGAGAAAGTGGCTAAGAAATATTTAAACATTAGAGAAAATAAAATGTTGATATTTTGATAAATGTAGAGATCTGTTTGGATGGCTCTTTTGATGAGAGATCAAAACAACAGTCCGTGAACTATGAAGCAATCTACTCTTCCTCTTTCAAGTGTCCTTCTCTAAGCACCTTGCCCACATTTTGCTATAGTGTGTGTCATTTGGAGTATATTTTTACTACCATTGTTAGGGACAGAGGCCAGTACATTACCTCTGCTTAAAAATAACACTCTCAGATCCCATTCATTTACAGTCCTTTAAATACATTGACTTTGGCTCCCAGAAATGTGTGTCAGTGGGAACTTTTTTACTATTATTATACTTTAATTCTGGGATACATGTGCAAAACATGCAGGTTTGTTACATAGGTATACACATGCCCTGGTGGTTTGCTGAACCCATCAACCTGTCATCTGCAATAGTTATTTCCGCTAATACTATCCCTCCCTAGACCCCCAACCCCTGACAGGCCCTGGTGTGTGTGATGTTCCCCTCCCTGTGTCCATATGTTCTCATTGTTCAACTCCCACTTATGAGTGAGAACATGCGGTGTTTGGTTTTCTGTTCCTGTATTAGTTTGCTGAGAATGATGGTTTCTAGCTTCATCCATGTCCCTGCAAAGGGCATGAACTCATCCTTTTTCATGGCTGCATAGTATTCCATGGTGTAAATGTGCCACATTTTCTTTATCCAGTCTATCATTGATGGGCATTTGGGTTGGTTCCAAGTCTTTGCTATTGTGATAGTGCTGCAATAAACATACATGTGCATGTGTCTTTATAGTAGAATGATTTATAATCCTTTGGGTATATACCCAGAAATGGGATTGCTGGGTCAAACGGTATTTCTGGTTCTAGGTCCTCGAGGAATCACCACACTGTCTTCCACAATGGTTGAACTAATTTACACTCCCACCAACAGTGTAAAAGTGTTCCTATTTCTCCACATCCTCTCTAGCATCTGTTGTTTCCTGACTTTTTAATGATCACCATTCTAACTGGTGTGAGATGGTGTCTTGTTGTGGTTTTGATTTGCATTACTGTAATAACCAGTGATGATGAGCTTTTTTTCATATGTTTTTTGGCTGCATAAATGTCTTCTTTTGAGAAGTGTCTATTCAAATCTTTAGCCCACTTTTAATGAGGTTGTTTATTTTTTTTCTTGTAAATTTGTTTAAGTTCCTTATAGGTTCTGGATATTAGCCCTTTGTCAGATGGATAGATTGCAAAGATTTTCTCCCATTCTGTAGGTTGCCTGTTCACTCTGATGATAGTTTCTTTTGCTGTGCAAAAGCTCTTTAGCTTAATTAGATCCCATCTGTCAATTTTGGCTTTTGTTGCTATTGCTTTGATGTTTTAGTCATGAAGCCTTAGCCCATGCCTATGTCCTGAATGGTATTGCCTAGGTTTTCTTCTAGGAGATTTATAGTATGGGGTCTTACATTGAAGTCTTTAATCCATCTTTAGTTAATTTTTGTATTAGGTATAAAGAAGAGGTCCAGTTTCAGTTTTCTGCATATAGCTAGACAGTTTTCCCAACACCAGGATTATTAAATAGGGAATCCTTTCCCCATTCTTGTTTTTCTCAAGTTTGTCAAAGCTCAGATGGTTGTAGATGTGTGGTGTTATTTCTGCGGCCTGGGTTCTGTTCCATTGTTCTATATATCTGTTTTGGTACCAGTATCATGCTGTTTTGGTTACTGTAGCCTTGTAGTGTAGTTTGAAGTCAGGCAATGTGATGCCTCCGGCTTTGTTCTTTTTGCTTAGGATTGTCTTGACTATACAGGTTCTTTTCTGGTTCCATATGAAATTTAAGGTAGTTTTTTCTAATTCTGTGAAGAAAGTCAATGGTAGCTTAATGGGAATAGCATTGAATCTATAAATTACTTTGGGCAGTATGGCCATTTTCATGATATTGATTCTTCCTATCCATGAGCATGGAATGTTTTTCCATTCGTTTGTATCCTCTCTGTTTTCCTTGAGCAGTGGTTTGTAGTTCTCCTTGAAGAGGTCCTTCACATCCTTTGCAAGTTATATTCCTAGGTATTTTATTCTTTTTGTAGCAATTATGAATGGGAGTTCACTCATGATTTGGCTCTCTGTTTGTCTATTATTGGTGTGTAGGAATGCTTGTGATTTTTGCATGTTGATTTTGTATCCTGAGACTTTGCTGAAGTTGCTTCTCAGCTTAAGGAAATTTGGGGCTGATACGATGGGGTTTTCTAAATATACAATCATGTCATCCGCAAAGAAAGACAATTTGACTTCCTCTTTTCTAATTGAATACCCTTTATTTCTTTCTCTTGCCTGATTTCCCTGGCCGGAACTTCCAATACCAGGTTGAATAGGAGTGGTGAGAGAGGGCACCCTTGTCTTGTGTCTTAGGTTTGTCATAAATACCTCTTATTGTTTTAAAATACATTCCATCAATACCTAGTTTATTGAGAGTTTTTAGCATGAAGCGGTGTTGAATTTTATTGAAGGCCTTTTCTGTATCTGTTGAGACAAACGTGATTTTTGTCATTGGTTCTGTTTGTGATGGATTATGTCTATTGATTGGCATATGTTGAACCACCCTTGTGTCCCAGGGATGAAGCTAACTTGGTCGTGGTGGATAAGCTTTTTGATGTGCTGCTGGATTCGGTTTGCCAGTATTTTATTGAGGATTTTTGCATCGATGTTCATTGGGGTGGCCTGAAATTTTCTTTTTTTGTTGTGTCTCTGCCAGGTTTTGGTATCAGGATGATGCTGGCCTCATAAAATGAGTTAGGGAGGAGTCCGTCTTTTTCTATTGTTTGTAATAGTTTCAGAAGGATTGGTACCAGCTCCTCTTTGTACCTCTGGTAGAATTTGGCTGTGAATCTGTCTGGTCTTGGGCTTTTTTTGGTTGGTAGTCTATTAATTACTGCCTCAGTTGCAGAACTTGTTATGGTCTATTCAGGGATTTGACTAAGACCCACCTCACGTGCAAAGACACACATACGCTCAAAATAAAGGCATGGAGGAATATTTACCAAGCAAATGGAAAGCAAAAAAAAAAAAAAGCAGGAGTTGCAATCCTAGTCTCTGATAAAACGGACTTTAAACCAACAAAGATCAAAAAAGACAAAGAAGGGCACTACATAATGGTAAAGGAATCATTGCAACAAGAAGAGCTAACTCTCCTAAATATATATGCACCCAATACAGGAGCACCCAGATTCATAAAGCAAGTTCTTAGAGACCTACAAAGAGACTTAGACTCCCACACAATAATACTGGGAGACTTTAACACCCCACTGTCAGTATTAGATAGATCAACGAGACAGAAAATTAACAAGGATATTCAGGACTTGTACTCGGCTCTGGAAGAAGAAGACCTAGTAGACATCTACAGAATTCTCCACCCAAAATCAACAGAATATACATTCTTCTCAGGAGTGCATCACACTTATTCTAAAATTGACCACATAATTGGAAGTAAAACACTCCTCAGCAAATGCAAAAGAATGGAAATCATAACAAACAGTCTCTCAGACCACAGTGCAATCAAATTAGAACTCAAGATTAAGAAATTCACTCAAAATCGAACAACTACATGGAAACTGAACAACCTGTTCCTGAATGACTACTGGGTAAATAATGAAATTAAGGCAGAAATAAATAAGTTATTTAAAACCAATGAGAACAAACATACAATGTACCAGAATCTCTGGGACACAGCTAAAGCAGTGTTTAGAGGGAAATTTATAGCACTAAATGCCCACAGGAGAAAGCAGGAAAGATCTAAAATCAACACCCTAACATCACAATTAAAAGAAGTAGAGAAGCAAGAGCAAACAAATTCAAAAGCTAGCAGAAGAAAAGAAATAACTAAGATCAAAGCAGAACTGAAGGAGATAGAGACATGAAAAACCCTTTAAAAAAATCAGTGAATCCAGGAGCTGTTTTTTTGAAAAGATTAACAAAATAGACCGCTAGCCAGATGAGTAAAGAAGAAAAGAGAGAAGAACCAAATAGATGCAATAAAAAATGATAAAGGGGATATCACCACTGATCCCACAGAAATACAAACTACCATCAGAGAATATTGTAAACACCTCTATGCAAATAAACTAGAAATTCTAGAAAAAATGGATAAATTCCTGAACACATACACCCTCCCAAGGGAACATTTGCTTTTTAAAACAATGTAGTACACAGTTTAGAATCCCACTTCTGGTTAAGTGGGATAGACCCAGAAGAGAGATAGAGCTTTGTGATTAAGTGGGAAGCTCTGGAGTCAGACTGCAGGAGTCACATGCTATCTCTACTGCCTGTAGCTATGTAATCTTGGGAATTACCTAACCCTATTTGTATATTATTTTACCAACCTCAAAAAAGAGGATAATAAGATGATAGGATATCATTTCTAAAGTTGTAAAGGGTCTATTCAAGTAAAGTGCTTCAAACAATATGTGGCACATAGTAGTAGCAAGCGACTTTTATTATAAAATCAGTATTCACATACAGCTTTTTGTCACCTTTTTGAGCACAACCGTTTTAAATTACTTTTCCATGTATTTTGAAGGATTTAAAAATGTCATTCTAGAGTGGCAACATGGTAAATTGGCAGAGAAAAAGTCTTTGGAATCAAAGATATTTGGTCATCTCTTACACCATGTGTAAACTTGGATAAGTTGTATAAACTCTCTAGACATCAGCTTTCTATTTTTAACATGGGAGATGTAAATTGAGAAATGAGTAATATAATGCATTCAGGGATCTAGTACAGTGATAGATGCTCAATAGACAATAACTATGGGTTATGATTTGACTAAATTAGATTAAACCCAGAATTCTACATGATCACATAAAATACCAATAACTGAATTTAGAATGTTCGGGATGTCATTGAACATTTAATATTGTATTGGTAGCTTCATCAAGCATACTGTGCACACTTAAATATTAAACATCAGTAGAAACTAAGGGCACCCTTATTCCAGCAACACATCATCACCAATGTATTAATCTGGTAAACTCATGAACTGGATGAAATCCTAGCTCTCCTTAATCTACCTTTGTCATAACCACAGCATATGGGCTGAATTTTGGTGTGAGAAATCTAATACTCCTTAAAGTACATAAGTGCATACATATTGTGATCCTCTGTGTCCTGATCCCCTCCCTAAAGTGTTTCTGTCAGCTGTCAAGAGCTGCCTGCCAAAGGTTATGTCACCTCCCAGAGGAGATATGAGACCGACAGCTAACTAATTCAGGGACTCAGAGGCCCCAGTCCAATTGTAAACTAGTGCAACCACTATGGAGAACAGTATGAAGGTTCCTCAAACAACTACAAATGCAACTACATATTGTCCAGCAATCCCCCTACTGAGAATCTATCCAAAGCAAAGAAGATCGAAGAGACATCTGCATCTCACATCTACTGCAGCTCTATTCACAATAGCCAAGATATGGAATTAACATATACAAAATGGAATATTATTCAGCCATAAAAATGAATAAAATCCTGTCATGTATGGCAACATAGATGGAACTGAAGGATATTAAGTGAAATAAGCCAGAAACAAAAAGTTAAATGCTGTGTGCTCTCACCCATATGTGGAAGCTAAAAAAAATTTGATCTAATGTAAGTAAACAGTAGAACAGAGGATATTAGAGGCTGGGAAGGGTGGGGGAAAGGAGGAATAAGGAGAGATTTGTTAAAGGATACAAAATTACATCTAGATAGCAAGAATAAGTTATAGTGTTCTGTGGCACTGTAGGATGACCATAGTTAACAGTAATATATAGTTTCAAATAACTAGAAGGAGAATACTGAACATTACCAACACAAATAAATGATAAATATTTGAGATGATGGATATGCTGATTACCCTGATCTGATCACTATACATCATGAGTATTGAAACATGGCTATGCTAATTACCCTGATCTGATCACTCAACATTATGAGTATTGAAATATGCTAATTACCCTGATCTGATCACTATATATTGAGTATTGAAACTATTGTACTTTATAAATATGTACAGTTATTATTTTTCAATTACAAATAAATAAAGTCCCATCCCACTGCCCCAATATTTTGGCACAATTCTGAAGGGCCATCCCAGCTCCAGAGCTCACTGCAGGATCGACTGGGTCCTCTGTTGCAACCATATTGCTGATAGTTTTTGCCTTTGCCATCCATACTTTCCTGCAGCTGTATCTCCTGAGAACACTCCCCAGTAAAAAAAACCTTCTAAACACAACTCCTTTCCCAGAGACTGCTTCTGGAGAACACAATCTAAGGCTTCCCCTAGTTTGAAAGGTTTTATAATAAAAAAGTGGAACATGAGCCAAGTATTTCTTTCTTATCTATCATGGCACAGCAAGCAATGGAAGAATTCAAAGTGGAGCTGTTTTAAGAACTTGGTCAGCCCTTTCGAAGCCACAGCATGCCTCATAACAAACATATGAAAGCACACCCACATTCAACATTAATTATTTACTGCAAAATTCTGGAAAGGAATGTTGTAATTTTGTTTTTGAAATTATTTAACTATGATATAATTAAGGATGGGCCATGATTTTTCAGCAGAACTCAGAAATTCTTGCGAAGTGGAAAAAATATATCCAGCAAACTGTTTTCAAATTCAATAAAACTTTTATGAATACTAAATTTAATAATTAATGACGTTTACATAATGTTATGTCTTGCAGACATTTAATTAAACATTTATTCATTTTGATTTTATGGGTTCTTTTTTGTATTCCAAAGCCAATAAATTTGATTTCAAGGACTCAAATGTTATATGAAGGTCTTAGAATATCTCATAAGCCATTGAAAATGTCAAGGCCCTTGAAAATATCTGTATAGAAATCTAGCATACATTTACAAAATACAAAGCGTAAACTTTTTCCTTTTTCTTATTCACTCTTATTTCTAGGCTATGGTCAGGTAGATAAATGCTCAATGGCTTCAATGTAAATAGATATTTATTTTAGAGCTCATTCAAGTTTGAGAGAAAGGAGAAAATGTACACAGAGGGACTATTTGAATACAAAACTGACTCAGGTTAAGCTGGGGTCATTCCCTTTCACATTTCCAAGGAAATGTTCCATGTGCTTCATCTTTATCTTGTATAGGTAGGCATAGCTGTGTGTTTAACTGTGGACCATCATATGTGACTACTCCTCCCTCCCCCAGTAAAGTGATATTTCACAAGGCTCTCCCAATCAGGGTGCATTAAGCTATAAGTATACACATTTAGTCACAAATCTTTGCATGACACTCTCCGCTATTAGTTTTAGAAAACTGGCTCTTCACATCAATTTTTGTGGATCTCTATAAACATAAAAAAGGAGTAATAGATTCTGGCATGTGTATGTATTTTAATCCAGATGAACCAACCACATCTTATATTGACTTTGTTTAATAATAAAAATCACCAAAGTTAGCAATGGAAAAGACTTACTACATTAGGAAATAGATCCATTAAGCTTATTCAAGATAATAACATTTTCAGTCACCTGAATTCATCCCCATTCTGCTTCTATGAACTATGGAGAAATATACACCCATGGTATTTTTTCATTAATAAAACCATCTTTGAAACATTCAACATAGTGAAGAGACAACCCACAGAATGGAAGAAAATATTTGTAAACTGTACATCACATCTCATGAAGGGTTAAAAACCAGAATATATAAGGAGCTCAACCAACTCTACAGAAAAAAAAAAAAAACTAATAATCTGATTTTAAAATGGGCAAAACGATGTGAATAGACATTTTTCAAAAGAAGACATACAAATGGCAAACAGGTATATGAAAAGGTGCTCAACATCATTGACCATCAGAGAAATGCAAATCAAAACTGCAATAAGATCACCTTATCCCAGTTAAAATGGCTTTTATTCAAAAGACAGGCAACAGCAAATTCTACCAAGGATGTGCAGAAAAGGGAACCCTTGTACACTGTTGGTAGGAATGTAAATTAGTACAATCACTATGGAGAACAGTTTGGAATTTCCTCAAAAAACTAAAAATAGAGCTACCATATGTTCCAGCAATCCCACAGCTAGGTATATAACCAAAAAAAAAAAAAAGGAAATTATCATATTGAAGAGATATCTGCACTTCCATGTTTATTGCAACACTATTCACAATAGCCAAGATTTTGAGGCAACCTAATGTCCATCCTCAGATGAATGGATAAAGAAAATGTACATTCACACAGTGGAGTACTATTCAGCTATGAAAAAGAATGAGATCCTGTCATTTGCAACAACAGAGATGGAACTGAAGGACATTATATTATGTGAAATAATGCAGGCACAGAAAGACGAACATTATATGTTCTCACTTACTTGTGGAAGCTAAAAATGAAAATAATTGAACTCATGGAGATAGCGAGTAGAATGATACTTACCAGAGGCTGGGAGGAGTACTAGACAGGGGAGCAAAGGGGACGGTTAATGGGTACAAAAATAACACTTACACTAATTAAACTAAAGAGCTTCTGCACAGCAAAAGAAACTGCCATCAGAGTGGACAGGCAACCTACAGAACGGGGGAAAATTTTTGCAATCTCCCCGTCTGACAAAGGGCTAATATCCAGAATCTACAAAGAACTTAAACAAATTTACAAGAAAAAATCAAACAACCCCATCAAAAAGTGGATGAAGTCTCGAAGACATTTATGCAGCCAACAGACACATGAAAAAATGCTCATCATCACTGGACATCAGAGAAATTCAAATCAAGACCACAGTGAGATACCATCTCATACCAGTTAGAATGGTGATCACTAAAAAGTCTGGAAACAACAGGTGCTGGAGAGGATGTAGAGAAATAGGAACACTTTTACACTGTTGGTGGGACTATAAACTAGTTCAACCATTGTGGAAGACAGTATGGCGATTTCTCTAGGATCTAGAACTAGACATACCATTTGACCCAGCCATCCCATTACTGGGTATATACCCAAAGGATTATAAATCATGCTGCTATAAAGACACATGCACACGTATGTTTATTGCGGCACTATTCACAATAGCAAAGACTTGGAAAGAAGCCAAATTTCCATCAATGAAAGACTGAATTAAGAAAATGTGGCACATATACATCATGGAATACTATGCAGCCATAAAAAAGGATGAGTTCAGGTCCTTGGTAGGGACATGGATGAAGCTGCAAACCATCATTCTAAGCAAACCATCACAAGGACAGAAAAGCAAACACCGCATGTTCTCACTCACAGGTGGGAATTGAACAATGAGAACACTTGGACACAGAGTGGGGAACATCACACATCAGGGCCTGTTGTGGGGTGGGGGATGGGGGAGGGATAGCATTAGGAGATATATCTAATGTAAATGACGAGTTAATGGTTGCAGCACATCAACATGACACATGTATACATATGTAACAAACCTGCACGTTGTGCACATGTACCCTAGAACTTAAAGTATAATAAAAATAAAAATAAATAATACCGATATCGAATGAATAATATCTAGTATTTGAAAGTACAACGGGGTGATTACAGTCAACAAAAATTTATTATACTTTTAAAAATAACTGAGTATAATGGTATTGTTTGTAACAAAAGGAAAGGATAAATGTTTGAGGTGATGGGATATACCCATTTACCCTGTTGTAATTATTATGCATCATATGCCTGGATCAAAATATCTCATGTACCCTAAAAATATATACACCTACTATGTATGCACAAAAATTAAAAATTAAAAATTTTTAAACACAGATTATCAAAAGCAAAATAATTATAATAATTTCATAGGAAAGTACAATAAGCATTTGACCATTATCTTTTTGTAGGGAATTTTTGTTTTCTTCTCTTTTTGTACAATTATAATTAAAGTTGCAATAAACATTAAACAAATAAAATAAACAAGACCATCTTTGTTCTATATTGTCAGTGATCTGTGATAAGGTACATGATAGGATAATATAGGACTTTTTTTTTTTTGCCCAAAATACCTCCCAAACTAAATTGTAATTTCTTTTCCTCAGAATGAAACCTAAATTTGTTCTAAAACTGATTATTTTACATGTTATATTTTACATATATATGGTAGAAAATATTTGCAAACCGTACATCTCATGAGGGATTAATAATCAGAATATACAAGGAGCTCAAACAACTCTACAGAAAAAAAAAGTAATCATCTGATTTAAAAATGGGCAAAAGCTCTGAATAGACATTTCTCAAAAGAAGACATACAAATGGCAAACAGGCACATGAAAGGTGCTTAACATCACTGATCATCTTTTATATATATAATAAAATATGAGCCAGATTTAAAATATTTACATAGTCTTGGTCTATATTTCACTCCCAAATTCTACCAAATCCATAAAACATAAGGTGGAAAGAAATTACAAGTCTCAATTTTGATCACTTCTCAGAATTCTACAATAATCCCAGTGTCAACCCTGACTGCTAAATGTTGAAAATCTGTTTTAGTGAGTGTTCCACCAAAATTTGCGTATATGTGAATCAATCCTAAAGCATTTTCATTATCAATGATCATTTTTACAAATTGTGTTTTACTTGTTTTATACCCTGTGCTACTCCTTATCTCTTTTCAATTATTCTTCATGTAAACTTCAGTATTTCAGCCATCAGCACATTTATCCCATTGAAGATCAATAAAACTCAGGAAAAAGGAAGCTATATTCAGAAAAGTAACCATCATTTCACTGTCAAAATAAGTGGCTTAATATCCTAAGAGCTATTTAAACTTCTCTCAGCTTTAGTTTTTTCATCTCTAAATAATATTTTTTTGTGGGATTATTTTAAGGATAACAAAACAGCTTCTATTTAATGAAATCTTAGGTGTGTCAGGCACTATGCTACCCACTTGACATCTCACATAATTCCCACTTTTCTGGAAGGTTATACTATAATTAGTCCTTATTTTACAGGTGGGGAAACTGTTGAGACCAATATTACACAGACTAGATGCTTAATTACATTTAGTATATTATATATGGATTATCACATATAATATAAAAATGAGGATTTTTAATGGATTTTGGAGAATTAGAACTGGCATTTAGTTCAGCTGGCATATGTATTAGTCAGGGTTTTTCAGAAAAACAGGCACAATAGGATATACATATATACAGAGATTTATTTTAAGAAATTGATTTACATAATTGTGGGAGCTGACAAGTCCAAAATTAATAGGGCAAGCCGACAGGCTGGAGGTGCAGTTAAGAGTCTTGCATCTGAAGGCTCGAAACTAAGGTAGAATTTCTATGTTGCAGTCTGCAGGTAAAATTTCTTCTTTTTGGGGAAACCTCAGTCTTGGCCTTCAGCAAATTTAATGAGACCCATTCATATTATGGAGGATTGTCTGCTTTACTTAACTGGTGGTAAATGTTAATCGCAACTGAAAAATAGTCTTAGAGTAACATCTACACAAGTGTTTGACCAAACAACTGAGTACCATGATCTAGCCATATTGACACATAAAATTATTCATAACCAAATATTTGATTTTTTAAAAAAAGAAGTCCCATATTGTCCTATTTGCATACCATCTCAGATATATTATTGAAAGCCAGATCATCTGATTCGAGAGTCCACAAGCTTATGACTCTGATAATCACTAGAAAACATGTAACAATGCCTTGCACAGTGCTTGTACAAAATGAACAGTAAATAAATCTTCGTTGAATCTGAGTTCAAGTTAGATTCTGGGTGGTTTCCAAGAGGAACCTCAACCATGTTATTACTAATTAGTGTTTCCCTCAACATTCTCTCGTCTTTCTTTACCCCTTTTTATTTCTCCACTGATTTCTTCCATTGGTTTCACCATTATATTATTGAAAAGCTGTCCTTTAAGTTTTATTCTGAACTTCCATGTTTGAGATCCTCAAATCGAAAATCTCTCTCAAATATGCTGTCAGTAGAGATCTGTTCAAGATGGCACGTAATTTTTTATATGCCTTCATACTTGTCTTATATCCTGTTTTCCATGAAATGCTCATTCAGTTTTCTAGATTAATCTATGTGTGAAATCAATATGGACAAAAAGGAATATACACAAGGCAAAATGTGACTCCATGTAACATTCTAACATAGTGTTTAAAAGTGTGGGCTAAATAACTTAAGATCACTTCACTTTCGTCAAGTCCCTGCTACGTAAGATTTCCCATGTGCAAAATGACGATTATCATAGTAATACAAATCACAGGACTCTAATGAAGACTCAGTGACATGATAGATACTGACTATGTAGAATAGTATGTGGCAAATAAGAGGTGCTCTGTAGATGAAGAAATATTTTTATAAAAGTATAATTAGTGGGGTATAAAAAGACAGCTTGTACATTTCTAGTTCACTCCTTCATAAAAGCATCTTAATCTTGAAAGATAGTAAGCAGCCTGAACGAAGTAGCAGAGGATGCCATCTGCTCTACCCAGTGGTTTTTAAAACAACTTCTTACAACATTGGCTTCCAAATGACATTGTGTATAGTCTGGTAGCAATCTGTGACAATGCTCTGTTTATTCTGGTCAATGGCAAAATGGGAATATTAAGGAGTGTGTGTGTGTGTGTGTGTGTGTGTGTGTGTGTGTGTGTGT
The DNA here is from genome assembly GCF_000001405.40 of Homo sapiens. Classification (NCBI taxonomy): domain Eukaryota; kingdom Metazoa; phylum Chordata; class Mammalia; order Primates; family Hominidae; genus Homo; species Homo sapiens. The sequence continues at coordinate 93,425 of NW_013171804.1, read as the reverse complement.
AAGTTGCCAGCTCTTTGTTCGTGAGAAAGACTCTTTTCTTTCTGAGATTCTAACCCTACTAAGCTTTTTGGTATTATATTTTGGTTTTTAATGATAAAATAATTATATAGTAGCTGGTGTTTTTAAAATGTTGTTATGCAGTTAATTTAAAGTTTGGTAACACTATGTCTGTGGCCAAAACATTTTTTAAAATTATCCTGCTTTGCAAAATCAAACATCTGCAAATCACTGCCTGAGGAAACAATCACTTCTTCGGTCTGGCAGGAGCTCTGATATGACTGTGCAGTGATGAGGAAGGGGTGTGATGTGTGAAGCAAGACTGCAAAACAGCAGACCATTTCTATGTGTTATACACAAACAGGTTAAAAGCATATTTTACTCTCAAGTATGACGGGGAAATACTCCACTTACAAAGCGCTTTACTTTTCTATATTAGAGTAACAAATTACCACAAAATTAGCAGCTTAAAATAACACACACTTGTTTTCTCCCAGTTTTTATGAATCAAGAGCCCAGTTATAGCTTATCTGGGCCCTCTCTTTGAGATCTTACATGGTCATGTATTATCAGCCGGGTTGCATTTTCATCTGTAGGTTTGATTGGGGAAAATTTTTCTTCTAGTTTCATTCAAGTTGTTGTCAGAATTAATATTGCTTTGGTCTGTGTGGATGAAAGCCCCCACCCTTTGCTGATTGGAGGCTAGAGGCTGACCTCAGGGACCAGAGGCCATCCATAGTTCCCAGGGGCTACTCACAGTTCCCTGCAACTTAGGCTTCCTCAACCTGACTGCTTGCATCACCAAGCCAGCAAGAAGACTCTCTCCTATGTAAAATCTCTAACTTCAGAGAAGGCCTAGTTCTTTTTGTAAGGGCTTTTACCTGATTCAGTCAGGCCCACCCAGGATAATTTCCCTCTTGACTAACTCAAAATCAACCTATTTGGCATCTAAATTGCATATCTGCAATAGCCCTTCACCTTTGCCATATTTACTAATGAGAAGTTGTGTGCCTTGTCCAAACTCAAGGGGAGAGCATTGATTACACAGGGAATGAATATAAAAGTTCAGGGTAGAGGCGAAAGGGTCATGCAAGCCACTCCAAGTTTTACGTGCCACAGAAAGAATTAAATGTGTTTTACTGGGTATTTAAAGGTAGCACTGGCAACATAGGGAGACCCTGTCTCTACAAAAAAATTAAAAGATTAGCTGGGTATGGTGGTGCATGCCTGTGGTCCCAATCACTCAGCAGGCAGAGGTGGGAGGATCACTTGGGCCCAGAAATTCGAGGCTGCAGTGAGCTGGGGGAGGCACTGCACTACAGCCTGCACTCCAGCCCTGGAGGCAGAGTGAGATCCTGTCTCAATAATAATCATAATAAAGGTAGTGCTAGTGGGGACACTAGCAGTAGCAACTAAGGTACTCTGGATTCTAGCCTTGACTGCCACTTATTAGTTACTTAAACTAGACACACTGCTTAGCACATTGAGTGTTTTACTTATAAAGTGTGATAAATGTAAATCCTGAACTAAAAAATTATTAAGATTTCCATACAATGCCAAAGTGCAGTGATTATAGGATCTTCAAATGAGGCTTCAGTACATAAGAACAGGTAGTGTGTTCTTATGGCTGAATACAAAGATTAAGTTAAAAGTGCTTATTGCTTTTATTTTAAAATAATTTAAAAGACTGTAACTAATCAAGAAAAACTGTATAGAGCCTTATGGGTTTTGTCCCCTTTTTTCAAATGGGCAAAATGTGAAGGAATGTGCCCTTGATTTTCAACTTCAGGCATATTATTCTCTTCAAAATTTGGATAAAGTTGAATGGGTCAACTTAAAGTCTTTGAATCATTTGGATCGATGTTGCTACCTATGCTCAAAGAAAAATGAGAATGGGAACATATATTAATTTATTATAACTGTTTTTCTATATTTCTATAATGGAATGAAAGGAAAATAGCATATTTCTTGTAGAATTACAAGACGCCTTATGTAAAACTGGCTTTGTGAAAATCACATTGATTTACTCCTTGACAAGTTGGCGTCTTTGAATTGCATAAATTCCTTCTCCAACCTCTGTGTAAGTCTAGAGAATCAAGTGACACCAAGACAGAATCTAGCTAATTTAAGTCAATATTTCCTTGTGAATAAATAAAATGCTAAGAGTTATGAAGCTCAGCTGTTCTCCTAAGCTCTGCTGACACTTGAAATACATGACTGATTCCTCAAGGACTTTGTCCATAGAGGAAACAACTAGGGAAATATTTTCCAGTGAAGTGTTGATTTACTTTAAACTCTGTTCTCTCACAGACACCTAGGAGAAAGCCTTTTTTTCTTTTAATTTTATAGGTTCTTTTTCTCCACTGGTGAAATAATAAGCAATAGATGATCCTCAAGCTAACATTACACAATAGCTAGATGATTCAATCTGGCACTGCTTTAGTGAACTCATTTTTATACTGCTCCTCTTCCAGTGCTGCTAGGATTGGTTTTGTATAATACCTGAGGTTTCCATATTAAATTAAGAGGTATACATGTTTCCTTCATCTTTACATTCTAACACTGCCTTCATAAACTCAATTCACAATGGTTAAGTTTAGAAGGTGCTGAGTCAGGCACGACACTGGTCACTACAAGAAACTAAATAATTGGCATTTAATAAAAGAGTTTATAACTTTGCTGGCTTGAAGGCCTCAATACAAGGCTGGAGCCAGCAATCTAAGGTTGTTACTGAACAGTTAAGGTAGCATCATGATAACTCTTCTTGCTTTGAGTCTGTGCTCACTACATTCTGTCAGTAATGCTTTAAGTTTACAGTCCTTTCACTTTAATCCCATTTCTTAAAATTAACCACTTTTCTCTCTTCCCAAACCAGCTCATTCTAGTCACAAAGACGTTTAAGTCATGAATGTATGAAAGCCAGTTTTTTGTGTGTGAATACTACTGTGGCTAATTTTATTTTCTTCTTTATACTTTTTTTGTATTTACTGCTCTTTTAATAAGCATTGACTTATAAATAAAGATACTTTTTCGATTTTGGAAAAATTAATTTGGGGCTATTTTCATTTAGCAATGGTATTTAAATGTCTTAATATGTCACTAAATTAGTTCTTGTCTTGGGAATTTAAAGTTCCACCTTGAGAAACCTTTAAGTATAGCAATATCTTTAGAACTTCCGTCAGGTTTTCTCATACACTGTAGTCTTATTGAATAAAAGCATATTCTTAATTTGTTTTTTCTTAAGTGGGTGCTTTTTATTTTCCTTTGTATATATGAAATCTTACTACAGAATTGAAGACAATGAAGATATTTGCCTATTACCCGGAAATTATTTTTCAGATGTCCAAATATTTTCCCATAAAGAAATTTTTGTAGGCCGAGAGCCGTGCCTCACACCTGTAATCCAAATACTTTGGGGGGTCAAGGAGGGAAGATCACAAGGTCAGGAGATCGAGACCATCCTGGCCAACATAGTGAAACCCCATCTCTGCTAAAAATACAAAAATTAGCTAGGTATGGTGACACGCGCCTGTAATCCCAGCTACTAGGGAGGCTGAGGCAGGAGAATTGCTGGAACCAGGGAGACGGAGACTGCAGTGAGCTGAGAGTGCGCCACTGCACTCCAGCCTGGGGACAAGTGAGACTCCATCTCAAAAGAAAAAAGAAAATTTTTTGTAAAACATCAGTTGCAAGATAAAGATGAGAAAGACTTTAATGTGGTGTCCTAGCAATTAAGTGTTAAAAGTGACACAAAAGCAGTTATTAAAATACTAGATGATAGTGAATGTCAGAAACTAAAAGAAATCCAAAGATTGCATATGCATTGTTGGTGGAAAGTAAAATGGCATAGCTTCTCAAAGAAGCATCAGTTTCTTATAAAAGTAAACAAGCAATTACTATGCAACCAGTAATTGCATTCATGGGCATTTATCCTGGGAGGGGGAAACCTATGTTAACACAGACCTGTACATAAATGTTCAAAGAAATTTTATTTCTAGTAGCTAAACACTGTAAGCAGCCCAGATGTCCACTTCAATGGGTAAATGGATAAAAAACTGTGATACACCATTTCATGGGCTAGCACTCAGTAATAAAAAGGACAAAAAGAAATCAATACACTCAACAATTTGGATGAATCTCGAGAAAATTATGCTAAGTAAAAGCTAAAAGAGAGAGAAAAAAATCTAAAAAAGGTTAAATATTAAATGTATTTATGTATATAATTTTTTAATGACAAAATTATAGATGTGGAGAACAGAGCAGTGTTGCCAGAGATTAGGAACTGGTAGCCGGGAGAGGTGGGGAAGAGAAAAGTGAATGTGGTTAAAAGGACAACATGAGGGACACTTGAGGTAATGGAACAGTTCTGTGTCTTCATTCTAGTTTAAATACACAAATCTACATGTGATAAAATTGCATAGAACTAAATAAACTCACATATAAACACAGACACAAGTACAAATACAACTAAAAAAATCTAGACAAGATCAATAGATTGTATTGATGTCAATATTCTGGTTCTGAGATTGTGTTACAGGTTTGTAAGATGTTACCACTGAGAGAAACTGGATAAAGCCTATTTGATGTCTCTCTGTGTTATTTCTTACAACCATATGCAAATCTATATTATAACAAAATAAAGAGGTTAATTTTGAAAATTCAAAAGTTTTACAGTAAATAACCAAAAGACTAATTTAAAATGTCCTTGCAAACCTTGAAGTATAAGAATATATAGAAGATAAGTACCTGCCAAGAAGAGGAGGAGAAAAGCTTGAGAGGAAGAGGTACACTTGAATAGAGCTCACAATATACTCATACCTTAGAAACATGGTACACTATTATGACACACACAATGTGAAAAATAAGCAAATATTAACAAAAAAAGTCAATGACTTAGAAAGGCATAAACGTAAATACACAAAGAATTCAAACATAAGCATTAATGTTTCAAAAACTTAGCTATTAACTTCTGTAATAAACACAAAAATACAGTTGAAAATTCTTACAGTATTAAGACAAGTTTTTTTGTTTGTTTGTTTGTCTGTTTGTTTTTGAGACGGAGTCTCACTCTTATTGCCCAGGCTGGAGTGCAATGGTGCTATCTAGGCTCACTGTAACCTCCACCTCCCAGGTTCAAGCGATTCTCCTGAGTAACCAGAATTACAGTCATGTGCCACCACGAGGGCTAAATTTTTTTATTTGTAGTAGAGATAGGGTTTTGCCATGTTGGTCAGGCTGGTCTCCAACTCCTGACCTCAGGTGATCCGCCCACCTCAGCCTCCCAAAGTGCTGGGATTACAGGCATGAGCCATGGCGCCCAGCCAGGACAAGTTTTAATAGGGATTACCACATAATCCTTTTGATGAATTAAAACAACAGAAATTTATTCTCTCACAGTTCTTGAATTTCTGGCCAGAAGAACAAAATCAGAGTCACTGGGTCAAAATTAAGGTGTCAGCTAGATCACACTGCTTCGCAAAGTTCTGCGAGAAAGCCCGTCCCGTTTATCTTCCAGCTTTGGATAGCTACCCCATGGTCGGGCTTATGGCTGTATCATTTCAATCTCTGCCTTTGTGGTCCTGTCTTTTCTTTCTGTCTCTGAAATCTTCGTCTGCCTCTCTCTTACAAGCATATCTGAGATCACATTTAGGGTCCACTCAAGAACCCAGAATAATCTCCCCCCTCTCAAGTTCCTTAATTTAGTCACATCTGCAAAACTTTTTGTTGTTGTTGTTGTTGGTCATATGAGGTCACATTCATAATTTCCAGGATTAAGACATGACTATCTTTTGGGAGACCATTTTTTTAGCCTACTAAATAACTAAGAAATTTTATTCCAATTAATTTGAAAATTTAATTAAAAGATGGCCAAATTTTTAGAAAAACACAGACTACCAAAATGAACACAAGAAAAGATAGGAAATATGACTTGTCATTTCTTTTAGAGGTTAAATATGTTTTTTAAAACATTCTCATGAAAAAAAAATGCCTGGCCAAGGTGACTTTACCCCAGTGATTTCTTCCAAACATAAGAAGTAACACCGATCCTACACAAAATCTTCCAGGGAATAAAAAAAGGACCCATCCTAATTGATTTTATGAGAGTAGGATAACATTAATATCAAAATTTTAGTACACATACAAAAGAAATAAATATTAACTTCAGTCATTTTCATGAATGCAGTTGCAACAACCATAAATGAAATATTTACAAACTGAATCCCTCCAATGATATATATTGTCATTGGAGATGACAATCACATGTATAACAACAGCTAAAATGTACTGAAAATTTACTTTATATTATATAACAATGGTGTTATGCTTTACATGCATATTCTTGTATAATTTTTACCATTAAGTTATGAATTAGGCACTGTATTTAAACCCATTTAGCAAATAAGACAACTGAGATTGGTGAGGTTAAATGGATTACATTTATACATTACATTAATTAATGGCATAAATAGATTCCACTAAAGAGAACTACTGGAAAAACTCTGGAAGCCTTCCAGAGACATTAATGTATCATTTCAAGGAAGAGAATTTGACTTGAGAGGGAAAGTTTGTAGTCTAAAACTCTGATCTAAGCCATCATCATCTCACTCCTAACCAACTATCCTTCTTCCATCATAGCTTGTAATCCCATAATGTATTTTCTCCCATGGTGAGAAGAGTAAGTCTGTACATTATAACTCAGATATTGTCACTTTTCTGCTGAAAACCCCTGTCAGCTTCACATTGCACTTGAATGCCTTTATGATGGTTTACAAGGTCCTACACACTTGACCGTGTATCTTACTCCCACTTCCCTATGTCATCACACTGCAGCCACACTGACCTCCTTGGTGTTCCTCACACATGCTAGTACAGTCCAGCCTCCTTGCCTATGCACTGGCTATTTAATCTGCACAGAACATGCTTCCCACTGATGTTGTAGATCTCCCTCCCAATGGAACCTTATCAATTTCTACCATTGTCACTTTTCAGCAAAGCGTACCCTGATCTCTCTATTTCAAACATAATCCCCCAAGTCCAAGGCACCCCTTTTCACCCTATCCTTATTTGTTTCCATAGCACTATCACTTCCTAATACACTTTTTAATTAATTTGCTTAATATGTTTATTACCTATCTCTGCCATTAGACCTGAAAGTCCAAAAGGGAAGAGATTTTTGTCAAATGTATATATTGTTATATCCCCAGCTCCTATGGGAATGCCTATTTCATGTAAATACTCAGTGGATATTTGTGATGAATTCTTCAGCCAAAAGTTCAGGCATATGAAAAATGAATCTGTATTTGAGACTGATTGTTCAGAGGACAGGAAATTCAATGACTCCTCCATAGTTCTGTCCATTTGTTTTAAAATTTGAAATTGGATAACATTGTATTGTATCTTCATGACTGCTGTCTAGACCCATAAGCTATTTGCTTATTTCAGTATTAATTTCTTCCAAATCCTATATTGAAGTCGCTTTTCTGAACACAAATCTCTAGTTTCTTAATGAAGCATTATTACCGTGATGATTTTTATCAATCTGACCGAATGTCCATACTAACTGTGCAACTTCATACCACAGATTGCTGTCAACTGAAATCATTGGCCTAACAGTATTCAGTTCGGAGTCTCAGTCATCTTTAAAGAAAGCGATGGAAATGTATTTGGTGTGGGACAGTTCTTGAATATAATGGACTTTTTTATCCCTTGATGTTGTATGCCATGTTCATCAGTGTCACACAGAAAGAGTCTGACCTTGAAATGTTTGGTCCAGGTGCCATGGATATACTGAATCAGATCAATCAAATGGCTGATTGGATCATTGTGTGACAATCAGTTATCAAGATGACCCAAGAAAAGACATCATGGGACAATGATTTCTCTGACTACATAAAATATAACTATAGATTAACCTTATAAAGAAATCCTGATGACCTATATACAAATTACCCAACAGACTATTCTATGATAGAGTGTTCTGGAGCAATGCAGATGACATCCATATTTTTAATCCTGCTAAACATAGTATCTTTAAAAATAGACACACACAATAAATAGCAATAACAAACAATATACATGTTGAAACTACAGATGCTGAGAAAACATGTAAAATACATTTCTTATGCTTTAAGTTTTGTAAAGCTCAGTTATATAAATTATTTTTCTACAACATGATATATAACAATTTGTATATTATGGTATATTATTAGCACAATATGAAACTGATTAAAGCACTCAGCTGATATCTTTTGCTAAAATTTGCATCTAACTTGAGTATATATTAAAACCATGCCACAGTAAATAAAAGTAATACTCTAGGATTCAGCAAAGCTTTCACTGAATTAATGCCATGTCATATAAAATAGAAGACTACTCTCTTTGAATTATTGCAAAACCATTATCATACGTAAGCTATGTACTTATCTAATGACCTGGCAAAAGTGATTTAGACTGGGAAAACTGCCGGATACTTTCTATTGATCTGATTCCAGCACACCTTTTCTTTCAGTGTATCTGAGGAAAACAGTCTTCCGCATACTAGTGTTCATTAAACATCTTTCTTTTAAACATATCTAGTCATATGCTACACTAAGCTAAATGGTTTTGATATGCATTTGGTTTTTCACTCACTGTATGTTTTTGAGCCCTGCTACATGCTAGGTGTTTGTTCTGGATGCTAAGAATTCAGCAGTAAACAAGATAGCCTAAATTATATTAGAGGAGAAAATGTTTTTTAAAATGAAAATAAAATTACAGATTATAGTGAGTTGGAAGAAATGAGTAAGATTACATACTACAGTACTTGGAAACAAGCTTTGATAGGATAAGGGAAGCCTTTTCTCTTATCCTAAGTCACCTGTGAGGGCTAAATCCTAATTAGTTGATGAGGGTAGGCATTTCAGTGAAGGTAGAACTTTAACTTCTAAATCATCATTCTGCTATTTACTTTCAAAAACAATTTTTTACCTTCTTAGGCATGAAGGATTAGCATGAACTACAGAATTACAGAATGTTAGTACTGGAAGCCATCTTCAAGTTTATCTACTGTTTTTTTCTATCTCATATTAAAGATGAGATACCTAATGCCTAGAAAGTAGAGTTTTATGAAAATTTGCCAATGCTAGTCTGAAGTAGAGCCATGACAAATGTTGGGATCTCTTGACTCCCAGCTCAATGTTCATTCCTCTCACACACAATCTAGGTATCCAGGCTAGCATTCCATCAATAGGAAAACCTTAGACATACTGCCCAGATAAGTGTTAGGCTAAGAATGACCATGTTTAGCCCCTACCCACTGTGATATTACATTTCTCATACATGGTACCTTTTCTCTGATGAATTCAAATACTTTCTGGCAAGTGATCACATTTATATTACTACTTAAAACACCCCTGTGACATAAGCGGAAGTTATTTATTTCTGAAGTTTACGAGCTGCCTGGGATGGCAAAATAGGCCACATGGTGCCTATTAAAATCAAGTCAGGAAATTCACTGTAGATAAAGGTAGAAACCAAATGATAGATATAAGCAGCCATATGATATTTACACAGTAACATGATGTTTTAAAGTGTTCAGGCTATTTTCACTATTGGTATAATTATTTACCCACTGAAACATACATTCAACTCTTCCTGCTTAATCAGCTAAATTTTGGACCTTATTTTCTCAAGCATAAATAGTTAGATAGATGGTAGGTAGGTAGATAGATAGATAGATAGATAGATAATATATGGAGAGATGCAGAGATAGAAAAGATAGATAGAGAAAAGATAATGCCTGTTTTTCTGTGTGGGTGAGATCCATGGGGATACAAGGAAAACTTGTGATGACTGAAAAGGAATTGAGAAACATACTCACAAATCTTGAAGAAATTATTAATTTCTTCCATCAGCCACAAGGTATGTATATGAATTATTAGTTGCACCAGTTATTTATGGTTAATCAGTTGCTTACTAATTAGTCGTGTCCATGCAGTGTCAACTTGTGTCTTATCAGCTGTTTAATATTTTTATATCTCTCCTGGTTATTAAAATGAAGGTCAAACTGTGCTTTGACATGTAATTCTACTTGTTTTGTCTTATGTTTTGGTAACACTATATTCAAGACCATTTATGTGATTGGAAAACAGTGTAAGTAAAATTTTATGCTGCTAAGTAAACTTGAACTTCAACTATTGGAATATAAAATGAGGGGATGAGAGCATAAGGGATTGGGGTTAATTTTATGAGAAAGGGCATTGGATGAGGGAGTAATATTTGTAAAGATGCTTGGTTTATTAAGGTTTCATGTTCAGAGGCATCTTTTAATTTCTACTCCCACAGTCGGTTCTTGGTGGCCATTATCCCCCAGAGCAGTGGGGTTTGGCATGTTTTCTTTGAACTTGCCAGGGATTCTGTTTGAAGGGGATTATTTGAGTTTGACAACTGGGAGCAACCCTGCCTCTCTACAGGAGGATAGAAGAGCTGTTTATTTGACCAGCTGAGAGAAATGTACACAGAGGCAAACCTGCTAGTGCCACTGGGTCCCAAGGCCCTCGGTAGGATACAGAATAACAGCTGTTTGCTACAGTGAACAGATCAGAGGATTTTCATTTAATAAATTTGTGCTCTTCTTTTATTAATATTTTTAATGGAGTCTGGCTACATGTCCTGCTGTGACCCTTTCCACTTACATTTTTAGGGGTAGTCAAACTGGCCAATAATCTAAGCCATGAGTTGACAACCTTGGGGTGTATTAGAAATATTAGAAGGCTCAGGCTATATATGGGCAAAGAGAAAAGGAGGAAGGCAGCTACAGTAACTGCTCTGAAGCTAAAGAATCATAATATATTCAATAGTGTAGTTTTTACCGAGTCTTCATTACCTTGTTTGTTGTCATTAGTTTTAAGCAAGATTCTAAAATCTAAGGCTACATATCCATGAAAGGTTAGTCATTGAAACAGAAATGGGAAATTGCGTTACAAATGTATTGTATTATGAATGCAAGAAATACACTGTCAACAATTCCATTCACATGCTTTGTCTGTTTTCTTTTGTGTTGCAGTATAACGCATAGAAAAACACACAAAACAAATTTACAACCAAAGGAATTTTTCCAAAATGAATAGCCCAGGTAACCATGATGAAAATAGCCGGTACCCTGACAGTCTCCCTTTTGTCCTCTTCCTATTAGTAACCCTGCCCTTACTCCCTAGAAGTAACCGCTGTCCTAAAGGCTAACACCAAACTTCAGTTATGCTTGCTTTTGAAATGTATAGAAATGAAGTTATTTAAGTATGTATGCTTTTGTATTTGGCTTTATTAAGCATTCTGATTGTGAGATTCCACAGTGCTGCAAGTAGCTGTCAGTCATTTGCTTTTTTAAAAAAAATTTATTGCTGAATAGGATTCTATCATAGGACTATTCTGAAAAATTTGTTTTGTCTATTATAATATTGTTAGACATTTTAATTATGCCACATACTAACACATGTGACACATGACACTGTTGATAACTTTGATTTTAACCATTATAGTGAGTAGGTTACGACACTCGGTGAATGCCTTTTCTCATTAATAATCAGAGAAACAGTCTCTCTGATTAAATACCTAGTCAAATATCCTGCTCTTTTTTTTCTATTGGATTGGCTTTTTTCTAAGTTATTCCTAGGATATCACTATATACTATCTGTTTATTATATATGTGAAAAATATCTTCTCTTAGTCTGTATCTTTCCTCTTTGTCTTTCCTAGTTTCTTTCATTGAACAGAAGTTCATATTACTACAACATAATTAGTATCATTTTAAATTAATCTAATTTTTTATGTTTAATGTATTTTGTGTCTATTGCAGAAATTTTTCTTCTGTCCCAAGATTCTAAAATTATTCTCATGTTATTTTCTAAATTTGTTTTACCTATAACATTATGTTGTAAAATTCTTCTAGAAGTGATTGTTTTATGATGTGAGATAAGAGTCAAATTCACTTATTAAGAGTTTTCATTTCCTACTGCTCTGATGCACACTCTTGTCATAAATCAACTCTCTATGTTTGCATGGGTCTCCTACTGGCCTCTGCTGTGTTACACTGGTCATTTTTCCTATGCGTAAACCAATGTCAGTTTTAGTTAATGTAGCTTTAAATTAATCCTTGATATCTGAAAAAGTGAGTCTTTCCCCTAGCTCCCTTATTCTATGTCAAGAATAGTTTAGCTATTCTTAGCATTTGCAAATAAATTTTAAAGTCAACTTATCAAGTGCCAACAATACATACAAACAAACAAAAATTTACATTTTATTGGAATTGCATTAAATTTAAAAAATAACTTGCAGAGAGTTTACATCATTACAATATTGAATCTTTCCACTGATAAATATGGGGTAACCCTCCATTTATTTAAGTATTCTGTTTCTCTTCAAAATGATGTATATTTTATTTGTAGGGGTCCTATACATTTTTAATGTATTTATTTTGTGCATTTAAAAATATTTGCTGTAAGTTATTTGCTATTTCATTTTCTAATATTTGTGAAAAATATAATTTATTTTTATATATTTACCTTGTATCTAAGAACCTTGCTAAATTCATTTATTGATATTTCATCTTTGTATATACAAAATTATATATTCTTTATTTAATAATATGTTTCTATCTTTTTGGCATCATTAATTTCTAACTTTTACTAACAAATGTGCTTAAGGACATACATTTTCTTCCAGGAATGGTTTCAGCAGCACTGGATGAGTTTTGATACATGGCATTTTTCAATTTTCTTCTGTTTCTAACTGTGTCCATTCATGGTTCCTTATGCCTGGGTTATTTTCTGGTTTTTTCTTCTTTTTGTTTTTGATTTCTATATACTTATTCTTTGTCTATATCCTTAACCTGAACTGGCCTCTGCCTTGAGGGTTCCCATTTCTTGTAATACCCTTCACTGGCCTCATGAGCCCTGAGAATTTTTCTGGTGTCATTTATTTCTTATCTGGTCTGAGCCATATTATGGGCCATTTCAATGCTGTACACATTAGGTTCTTGTAGTTGGCTGTCTGCCAGCCCTGTGCTACCTGTACCACATGTTTTTCCTCTTGAATAGTCCTAACGGAAAATGTATTGACTCTACTATGATTTCTGACTTCATCTGGGTCCTCAGTGCTGCCCAGCATGCTTTCTGTTCTCTCCTTATATTTTTTTCATGTGGTATGACTCACTGCCTCTGTTCCAAACTTTCAGTTCTTGAGCCACCAAGTCTTTCTCCTTCTCTTCTCCCTAAGTATAAGACCTACCCTGTTCTACTGGGCAGATTAAAGTTCTCCAGCTTAAATTCCTTCAAATCTCCTCTTCTTCAGCTGAGATGTTTTGGGCACTCACCTAAATTCCACTATAAATGTATTATAATCAGTCCTCATTATCTGTTCCTTTGCTCCATCTTCAGAGGAATTACATTACCTTATTTTCCCAAAGCTAACCTTGCCGTCATACGTTACTTTATGACATGTTTTTTCACAACCTCTCTAACTTTAAGATTTTCTTTTCCTTTGCTTAAAAAAAAACCCTCGGCCGGGCGCGGTGGCTCACGCCTGTAGTCCCAGCACTTTGGGAGGCCGAGGCGGGCGGATCACGAGGTCAGGAGATCGAGACCATCCTGGCTAACACGGTGAAACCCCGTCTCTACTAAAAATACAAAAAATTAGCCGGGCGAGGTGGCGGGAGCCTGTAGTCCCAGCTACTCGGGAGGCTGAGGCAGGAGAATGGCGTGAACCCCAGGGGGCGGAGGCTGCAGTGAGCCGAGATCGCGCCTCTGCACTCCAGCCTGGGCGACAGCGAGACTCCGTCTCAAAAAAAAAAAAAAAAAAAAAAAAAACCCTCATAATATTTCTCTCACCAATATTGCTATTATACATAGAATTTATCTTCTAAGCCAGCTCTTCAGGGGATTTAGCCAGTCCAGTCCAATCCAAATTCACACAAATCAGAAGCAAAACAGATTATCACTGCTCCTTTTATGCTTCATGGGTTGTGACATTGCATAAGACACTGCTTTATTCCAACTTACTTCTCTCGGTTGATAGGTGAAATTGTGACTCCATCATAGGCTGTGTTGCTAAAAAACCTAGTCGTAAGTACAAGCCCTAATTCCCTCTTTATATTCTGTCTTCAATATTTAAATACTTATTTATTTGGAAGACTTCTCTTTCCAAACATGGTCAAGTAAATAAGTGTTTAAGGAGTCCTGTGAATTATTTTTTCCTATAATCTCATTTTAGAATTGCCTTTCTAAACAATAGAGTATTGAAATCGTTATAAATATCAGGAAATCCTATAACAAAAGAAGGTGTGAATAGTAAAAGCTGTTTATTTCTTCTTAATGATTGTAGCCTATGATTATTTTTATATAATATTTATACTTCTAATTATGTCTTGTGCTAATATTATAATTATTTTCCATTCTTTGCACATACCTTGACTGATAACAGCTACTCAGAAGCATGCTTAGTGGCAGTAGGAAAATGTTGGAATTAAAGATCTAAATTATGCACAAAAAGCTCATAGATAACCAAGAATTGGGAATCTCATTGATGTTTTCTACATTCTCAGCAGCTTTACTCACCCTCACACCTTTCTCATATTACTTGATAATGGCCATATATCTTATTTATGTGGATGTACTTTACGAGAAATTATTACGGTAACATGTCAGATCTACCCATCAACTTTCTCTCTGAATCCTTTTTCATTCATCATTTAACAAAAAATCCTTAGGAAATGTGATTCTTATTCTTAAATCTAAAATTTCAGGCTTCATTTTTGTCATAGTGGAATCTAAATCCATTTTAACATATAGTTTTCAAAGTAAAATCCATTTAAACCACCCAAAAAGTTTTAATTTATGTTCATAATACATTTTACATTATGATAAAATGGAGATGGGTGGGGCTTGAGGGCATTGAATTGGATATTCTCCAAGGCCCCTTTCAGCTCAAATATACTTCGATTCTTAGAAAAAAAATATATCATTGCCAAGACTGACAGTCCCTAGAAAGAATAGACTGCTTTTAATTGTGTGGCAGAGTAATCTTTTGAATGTATTTTAACTTGTTCATTGATTTACTGAGTGAAAAATAATCTTTATATATTAGAGAAGGTGATCTTCTGTTTCCTGCAATCAGATTATTATCTATAATGCCAACTATTTAATATGTTTGTATAGCTATTTAAGGTTTATGAAGAGCTTCTCATGGGCATTTAATCATCACAACCACCCTATAACAGATCCCCCCTGAGGAAAGAGAAAAAAATTAAGATGAGACTGCAAAAGCATAAATGATCTAGCAAGATCATCAAGTTCCTAATTGGTAGAGTTGGTGCACAGAGAACTTTCTGAAAAATATTATTGCAGTCTCAATGTAAGCATCATCCTGATGGATTCTTTTTTCTATCCCTAATATGCATACCAGAAATGTGTTCACTTAAAAATAATCTGATATAAATATGATTTAATAAATATATTTTCCGTGCCAAATAATAGTGAAGAAAGAAATGCAGCAAAGTGTACAGGCCTACGCCAAACATGGAAGACTTGGTGGTAGAGAAGATTAGTGTCGTTGAATGGCTTATAAGCACAACCTTATTCAGCCTAAAATCCCAAAAAACCATTACTGCCCAGTAAGAAAGTGAAATGGTCCTAGGAAGTCTTAAACCACTCTTTTCTTATGAGATTAAAATGCTCATTGGCACAAATTTACCATCAACGTCAATTTAATCCACATTAAGAAGAAACTGGAGAATAAACTTCGAGAATGACCATGCTAATCATTCCCTTGATCAGATGAGGAATTCAAAACTGCAGGTTAGGTGGTCAGCACTTACTTCACACTGATCAGGTCTGTGCTATGCGGGTTACTGCAGGGCTGATCATCTAGGTCAAGCATAACTATCTCAAAATGTTTTTTATGGCTTCTTTGCTTCATTTGAGGATGCAGGTTAAGATGTTTTATGTACTTCTCCTGATTAAGCACCTGATGTTTCTGATCATCCATAAATGTATTAATAGATGTTCATCTTTTCTCACATACGCATTATTCCTTGTAAAGTTAGCTCTCCTGTAGTCAATGCAGTGGTAGACTCAACAGATGATTTTGTCTTCTTCGTAGATTGTTCTAAATACTGAGGTCTAGAAGTCTAGAAAACAACTAATAGTCTAGAAAACAACAATAATGTTCACTTGGTACTATCAAAATTAGTCTTTTTTGTGGCAAGTCCAGAACTACTCTAGTATATTCTGCCAGACATTATGAACCAAAACTGTTCACCAGAACATAAAACAAATGACATAGAGAAGTCCAGCAGAATAAACCATGTGCAGAATATCTTTGGAATGAGCTGATGAGAACTCATTGAGAATACCAGACTAGTGTTCATAGCACATATATAACATATATAATGCATATGTATTTTATATAATACATAAATACATTAAATATATTAAATATTTAATCTAGTTAAATATAAAATATATTAATAGATAGTATGTTGCATTTATATATTGTTAGTTATAAAATACATCTAAAATACATAAAATATATATAAAATATTTATGTGTACATATGCACAAATTTCTCACATTTTAAAGTCACTGTTGAATCAACTCAAATTAACAAATATATACTCAACTTTTACTACGTTTTGAGGCCCTGAATTGGAGCCTGAATTATTGCAACCATTTTTATTAACTAGTCTCCTGTGTCTACTCTTGTGATAGCTAATTTTATGTGCCAAGTTGGCTGGGCCATAGTGCTGGGATATTTAGTCAAACATTATTCTTGGTATTTTCACGAGGGCACTTTTGGATGAGACTGGCATTACGTATATATTTTTAACTGGCAAAGATGTATGTACTGACCATGTTCAACATAGTTTTTGAAGTATATGTGCATTGTGAAATGACTAAATCTAACTAATTAACATATTCATTACCTCACATGGTTATCATTTTTGTGGTGAGCACACTTTATATCCACTCTCAGTATTTTTCAAGAACATAAAATATTGTTAACTATAATCATCATGTTTTTTTCTGATGGTGGCTCTTATAAGCAATGCTGCAATGAATACCTTTATACATGTTTTCTTGTATATCATATGAGGGTTTGTCTAGGTTTACATCTAGAAAATATTGTCACTTATTTGTATTAGCAGTTTTACTGGATATTGCCAAATTACTCTTCCATATAGCTGCACCAATATCTACTGTCACCAGCAATGTATGACAAGTTTCAGTCCTTGCAAATATGTAACTCCTTAATTTTCAGATTTTTGTGACTGGTAGATGGGGTTGAATATCATGTTATATAGACATCCCGATCATATATCAAGACTCAGGTTGGGGATTAGCTCTCTCAGGACATTTTTGCCAGTCTTCTTCTTTGTGTTCCCTTGCACAACACTAGCAGAGAATATAAAACAGTATTTTGAAATCATTTGTTTTCTCTCCTACTTGACCTACAGGACTGTGATCTCATCAAGGGTTGATATCTATTCTTGTTTGCCTTCGAGTTACCAAATCACACAACAATGGCAAACACACCAGTATATGATCAATGAATGTTTGTTTAAGTGAGCAAAAATATAATAGTGAATAGTTCCAAGCTCAAAACAGGTTTGGAGCACATTTCATGGAGATTTTTGAGTAACAGGGCATAAGAGAATCTCAGAATTGACCCTCACACCCTTGGCCTTGTGTGGTCCTGGCCATAGCACAGACTGTTTCCATGTATTTCCAAAGAGGCTTGACCTTAGCAAGTCATGAAGGTCTAGATGTAGGAATCATCATAAATATTACTGGTAAACGTCATGATAATTTTATATCTACTATTTCAATGTTTCATTTATTCAGGAAGAAGCACTCACTGAATAATACCAAAAAATTTTAAGCTTTCCAGAGAAGTCTCAGATGTTTTGAAACAAATTTTGGCTAAACTCTTAAAACATGAACAAGACGCAAGTGTCTCAATATATTGAATTCCTCATTTATTCGTGACAATGAGAACTTCGTGGTGATGAGAATGTGATTTAACTATTCTGAGTCCCAATTTTGCACTATGTAAAATTGAGATGGTTGAGATGGTAACAGAACTTGCCTTATAGGATTGTTGTGAGGATTACATGCAATGATGCAGGCAAATGCTTCACACAATGTCTGAGACATTTGGTGCATGGACCAGGAGCTCAATACATGATATGGGACTTTAATTGTTATCATTGTTATTGTTGTTTGACTTTAATCTTAAAGGGAAAAAATTGTCTCCTTTCTCACTCATATTACCAAATTGGTCCTTAATTTAGGGGGAATCTTTTAATAGGAAAATTAACAAAAGATATTTTCTTATCTCATGTTCTTTTTGAAAATTGTCTAGTTATCCATTTAGATTTTGGCTTCAATCCATAACAAAAGATTGTACCATAAGTGCATTAGAATTACTTTCTAAACCTAATCTGCCAAAAAACCTAGCCTGCTAATCAACATTTTCAATAACATCCAATTTTCACTCACACTACAACCCAGGCTAATATTTTTATTTGACAACATTTATTTAAATATATACTAATTTCCTAGAGCTATTGTAAAAAGTACCACAGACTTGGTCACTTAAAGCAACAGAAATTTAATAATTTAATATCTCACAGTTCTGGAGTCAAGAAGTCAAAAATCAAGGTGTCCACCAGGCTGTGCTCTCTGAAGGCTCTATGGTAGGATCCTTCCTAAGCTAATTTTGTATAAGTATCTTCTTTTTTCTACAGTCATTGTATTCAGGAAATTCAAAATACATCAGCTCTTCAAACCCATTGACTCAACCGTGATGGGTTATTTGTATAGAGCAGACATCATCAATAATATCATCATCATCATCATCATCATCATTGGCCATCATAACAACTAGCATTTTTCAGCACTCATATGACTAACAAAAGGATTCAAAATTTTTAATGATTATTTCTTAATAGCCCTATTAATATCATGTGATATTCCTAAGTGGTAGAACTAAACTTGGACTCTGAGCCCTCTGTGAACAGATCCCATAATGTAAACCACTATGTTATACTATTATGTTAAACATTATGAAACTGCTGATATTCAAACATTTTGCAAACATTCAACCTAATACATGTTACTATTTTTCAGGAAGCAAAAATGAATATGCTTAGGTTATACCCCTATATCTAAGATATAAAGCTTATTGTTCTATAGGAAAAAATTCTGATACTATATTTTTCCAATTGGAAATTGTCATTCACCATCTAAAACTACTTCAGAGGACATTTAGCTCATCACATGAGTAAGTTAGCCAGAATGTTTCAGTACGTAAAATTATTTGCTGTAGATAGTTAGTGGAAAGATGACAGGCACATTCAGTTGGCTAGGATGCCCCCATTCACTTTCAATGCTACTTTATTCTGCCTAGAAGATTTTATTTTGTATTGCCATGAAAAAAACAAGTGCCTCAAGTGACATAAAATTCCTAATGCAGCTTACAAACTGTAAAGTTATCCATTGGGAATCAGTGACTTCTTTACAGCTTTGTACTTATGTGGACAGTATAATCCAGTGAATTGGAACATCAACAATTGCCTTTGATTGTTGAGACGCTATGTAACAGAATGGGAGAGGGAAAGTCCATGGTTCAAGTCCAGGCCTTATAATTTTCTCTTAACTGTATGACTTACCATTTCTGAACTTCACTGCCTTCTTCATTTTCCTTCATTGCACTAACATACCTTTCAGTGTTATGACCCTATAGTTTTACTCATACATTGAACAACACTTTACCTCAAGGAACTAATGTTAAAGGAAGGATGTATGGGACACAAAGGAATGGGTTCTGATCTTGTATTCAATCTACTATTAGGGTCACAGATAAGTCATTTAGCCTTACTGGATTCCAATATTCTTATTCATACAATGATGTTATGAATAAATCTTTATGTTCCCCAAATTCATATATTGAAATTCCAACACCCAAGATGTTGATATTAGGAGGTGGGGGCCTTTGGGAAGTGATTAGATAATAAGGGCAGAACCCTCATGAATGGATTGTATCCTAATAAAATAGACCCTAGTGAGCTCCCTTGCCCCTTCTGCCATGTGGGAGCACAGCGAGAAGGTGCCATCTGTGAACCAGGAAGGCGGCTGTAACAACACCACACCACACTGAGTCTGTGTGGCTCCTTGATCTTAAACATCCCAGCCTCCAGAACTATGAGAAATAAATGTTTGTTGTTTAAGCCATCCAGTCTATGGTATTTTTGTTATAGCAATCCAGATGGATGAAGATAAGTAAAACAGTTGCCTTAAATCCCATGCCCAGATTTCAAATTTGCTGCATTTATTTTAGATTCATTATGATGTTGTTTTGTAGCAATAGAGCAATGAGACTAGGAATATAGAATTTTGACCAGGCAGGATTAGAAATTTTCCCTGAACAATTTGATTTAAATGAATTTGGTATAAGCACCTTAGTCAGTCCTACAACTGGGTGAAATAAAAACCTAAAGCCTTTGCCTTTCTCTTACCTTTAAATTCTGTGTGAACATGGTCTACAGAAGCTATCAAACCTTCTTTTTTAATGACCATGTCACAACCTAACATTAACTTATTTTATACCTGCAAAAATGCTTTCTAAATGGCTTAGGCATATGAATTTAAAATGTTCTACCTCATTTTTGCAAGTTTTTCCTGAAATTGCTGTTGATTTCTGGATTTCTATGTTAAAAAATGAAGAAAGAATGCTCCTAAATTTTCATAGCTGAATGTAACACTAAATGACACCAAGGTTGGATTTCACATTTAACTACATTTGCATTTAGATCAATGCATGTAGAGATATGCAATATTCTGTATACTTTCACCTGAATAAATAGGTTGTACTGCATAATGAAACATTTCAGGCAATGCATGTTGGCCAATTTGAAAGTATCACATTTAATAAAATGGGCCTACTTTAAATAACCACCTTCAGGTTTAAAAACAAACAAAACTGGTAAGCTGCATATTCATAATATTTTATAATTTTTTTAGATTTTTTAATTGACAGATGTAATTGTAAATATTTGTGGTGTACATGATTTTTTAAAATCTATAATTTTATTTATTGCTCACTTATATTGTTAAATATAGAATATGTACAGAGAATGACTGATAGCTGGAAGACTATATAATAGCCTAGAAAAATTCCCTACTTAGGAAGCAGAAGGCTACATTATCTTTGTTGGAAAAAATTAAAAAGTAATGCTCACAAATTAACTATACGTAATTGATCTAATTTTTGTTTTAGTACAGTAGTTATTCATGGGGGATACTTTCCAAGACCCCAGTGGATGCCTGACACTGTGGATAGTACCAAACCCTATATCTATTGTGTTTTTTCCTATACATATATACCTAGGATTAAGCTTACCTTATATATTAGGCACAGTAAGAGATTAACAATAATAAATGATAATAAAATAGAACAATTATAACAACGAACTTTAATAAAGATAAAATGAGTGCTTGAACACAAGCGTTATAATAGTGCAACAGTGAACGTAATAACCTAGACAGCTACTAAGAGGTAGGTAGCATGTATAGCATGGATGCATCATGTCACAGGTAGGAAGGAGCAAGACTGTCTGAGATTTCATCACTCTACTCAGAGTGATGCAATTTAAAATGTATACAATTTTTATTGCTAGATTTTTTCATTTAATATGTTCAAACTGCAGGTGACTTCAGCTAACACAAGCCACAGTAAGTGAAACCTCAGATAAGTGGAGACTACTGCATTTTAAAAGGGTGAGGTTTTTATACTTGGCATGTAGGGACAGGGAACACATTGTCTTTGATTGTTGAGAGACCATGTAATATAATGGGGAAAGGGAAACGTCCATGGTTCAAATCCATGCCCTATCGTTTTCTCCATGCCTTATGGTGTAACATTTCTGAACTTTACTGCCTTCATCTTCCTTCATTGCATTGCATACTTTTCAGTGTCATGACTAGTTTTATCGACTAGTTTTATCAGTACATTGAACAATGCTTTAATTCAATAAAATAATGTTAAAGGGAAAAAGTATTCTAATGTATTTTGTCATTTATGCCTCTGTCCTGTGGCAGGACAATATTTTTATAGCCTTTGGAGATAAGAAAACAGAGGTTTCGTGCGGCAATAAATTGCATGGGCAATAAATTGCACAAGCACACATAGATGATAAGTAATGGAGCTAGGGCAGGAAACCATGTCTTCTGCTCCCAGTTCAGTGTGACTACCTTCCCATTGCAAAGACTCACACCACACCTTGCTACCTCATAGATCAAAATGGGAAGTGACTCAGGAACCATTAATGTCACTGTGGCTTTACAAACTTGTTTCTAATCTCAAAGTTGGGGTCTTTTTCATTTTATTGAAATGGAGGTAATGTTAATGATTGGTAGTCATGATTTCTAACAATAAGATGGTTGTTTTAAATTCATCCAGGGCAGGACTCAAATCATTACAGAGTGCTCTGAAATATGAATGCAGCCACTCAGTATTATTAGATGTTCTCCTACTACTGTGGTATAGGGCCTGCATGTAAGTTCCTGAGGTATAGACCTAAAACCCCACAACCTCTACACTGCTATTCAAATGCCCACTCCTCATAGTCATAACTACCTACAAATAAACATCGGAACGTTTTGCTAAAAAAAAATGACTTTTTGAAAATATGCTATTCCCCTTAGCAACCTCCACATCCCATAAGCTCAACTCTATAGTCATGTTTTCTACATTTACTATCTCTGTTAAATCTAGCGAAATGGCAAATCTGTGAACCAGAAGTGAAAGACAAATATTTATATTTATTTTGTCCTGTCTTCAAATAAAGAGGTTGGTTAACTTGAGCCACTACAAACTACACCAAAACTGCACTTTTTGCAATTCAGTTTTTATAAAGCACCTATTCTTGGATTTTCCAACTAGGGTTCCATGAGAAAATTAAGCCTTACAGAAATGACTTGATAACATTTTTCTCAGTTCTTCCATTCTAGAGGCACAGGATGAAAATTCCCTATTCCTTCCACTGAATGCCTTAAGGCTTAACTCTTCAGTAGAATGTTCCTTGAGAAGGTCTGCTAGACCTTAGGTTTTACAAGGAAGCAAAAAACTTAAAATGTCTT
The DNA here is from genome assembly GCF_000001405.40 of Homo sapiens. NCBI lineage: Eukaryota > Metazoa > Chordata > Mammalia > Primates > Hominidae > Homo > Homo sapiens. The sequence goes on along the minus strand of NW_013171804.1, from coordinate 70,257 downwards.
GAAGACAGTGATAATGACTAGTGTTGCTTTCCAGATCATTGGATGCTTGGTATATAGCAAGGGATGGCAAGTGCTGGCCTGTGGGCCATGTATTTTTGTAAACATATTTATTTTTATTTTTGTATAGGTGACTTTAAAATTTTGTTAACTTTTAATTTTCTGGGTACATAGTAGATGCATATATTTATGGGGTACATGAGATGTTTTGATACAGACATGCAATGTGTAATAATCACATCATGGAAAATGGGGTATCTATACCCTCAAGCATTTATCCTTTGTGTTACAAACAATTCTATTACACTCCTTAAGTTATTTTTAAATTTACAGTTATTATTGATTATAGTCACCCTGTTGTGCTATCAAATAGCAGGTCTTATTCATTCTTTCTACTCTGTTTAAAATAGACCATCCCTACCTCCCCACCTGCCCCACTGCCACTGCCCACTACCTTTCCTAGCCCCCGGTAACCATTCTTCTACTCTCTATGTTCATGATTTCAACTGTTTTGATGTTTAGGTCCCACAAATAAGTGAGAACATACGATGTTAGTCTTTCTGTGTCTGGCTTATTTCATGTATCATAATAATCTCCAGTTCCATCCACGTTTTCACAAATCACAAGATCTCATTTGTTTTTATGGCTGAATAGTACTCCATTGTGTGTATGTCTTACATTTTATTTATCCATCCATCTGGTGATGGACACTTAGGTTGCTTTTAAATCTTAGCTGTTGTAAATGGTGCTACAATAAAAATAGGAGTGCAGATATCTCTTCAATACACTGATTTCCTTTCTTTTGGGTATATACCCCAGCAGCAGGATTGCTGGATCATGTGTTAGCTCTATTTTTAGTTTTTTGAGGAACCTCCAAACTGCTCTCTGTAATGATTGTACTAATTTACAGTTCCACCAAAAGTGTACACGGGTTCCATTTTATTCACATCCTCACCAGTATTTGTTATTGCCTGTCTTTTGGATATCAGCCCTTCTAACTAGGGCTGAGAAGATATCACATTGTAGTTTTAATTTGCATTTCTCTGATGATCAGTGATGTCAAGCACCTTTTCTTATGCCTGTTTGCCATGTGTATGCATTTTTTGAGAAATGTCTATTCAAATATTTTGCCCATTTTTGATTGGGCAAATATTTTCTCCCATTCTGTGAGGTTTCTTTTCACTTTTTTGATTGTTTCCTTTGCTTTGAGAATGGTTTTTAACCTGAGGTGATCCAATTTGTCCATTTCTGCTTTGTTTGCTTGGTTTGTGGGTATTCCTCAAAAAATTTTTGCCCAGACCAATGTCCTGCAGAGCTTCTCCAATGTTTTCTTTTAGTAGTTTTATAGTGTGAGGTCTTAGATTTAAGTCATGATTTTCATATATGATTGGAGATATGGGTCTAGATTAATTCTTCTGCATATGGATATCCAGTTTTCCCAGCACCATTTATTGAAGAGACTGTCTTTTCCCCAGTATATGTTCTTGGCATCTTTGTCAAAAATGAGTTCACTGTAGGTTTTCAGATTTGTTTCTGGATTCTCTATTCTGTTGCATTGGTCTATGTGTCTGTTTTTATGCCAGTACTATGATGGTTACTATAGCTCTGTAGTATAGTCTGAAATCAGATAATATGATTCTGTCAGTTTTATTCTTTTTGCTTAGGATAGCTTTGACTATTCTGGTTCCTTTGTGGTTCCAAAGAAATTTTAGGATTATTTTTCTATTTATATAAAAAATGTCATTGGTATTTTGATAGAGATTGCATTGAATCTATAGATTGCTTTGGGTAGTATGCGCATTTTAAGAGTATTGATTCTTCCAATCCATAAACATGGAATATTTTTTCATTGTTTGGTGTCTTCTTCAATTTCTTTCATCAGTGTTTTATAGTTTTCATTATAGAGATTTTTCACTTGTTTGGTTAATTCCTAGGTATTTAATTTTATTTGTGGCTATTATAAACAGTATTTTTTTATTTCTTTTTCAGATTGTACACTGTTGGCATAAAGAAATGCTACCGATTTTTAATGTTAATTTTATATTCTGCAACTTTACTGAATTTATCAGTTTTAATAGCTTTTTGTGGAATCTGTAGGTTTTTCCAAATATAAGATCATACCATCTGCAAGCAAGGATTATTTGACTTTTTCCATTCCAATTTGGATGCCTTTTATTTCTTTCTCTTGTCTGATTGCTCTAGCTAAGACTTCCAGTGCTATGTTGAGTAACAGTGGTAAAATTGAGCATCCTTGTCATGTTACAGATCTTAGAAGAAAGGCTTTCAGTTTTTCCCATTCAGTATGATACTAGCTAAGGGTATGTTGTAAACAGATATACTGATACATATCAACGCTCATGCTTTATGTATTGCCTATGGTTGCTTTCCCAAATACAATAACAAAATTGCCTGCATGATTACAGAAGAGATTTCATGTCTTGCAAAGCCTAAAATATTTACTATCTATTCCTTTAATAAAAAAGTTATATGACCCCTATCATAGAGTAATATCACCTATTTGACTGGTTTTCATTCCTCCCTAAAAATTATCAATAAAAGGAATAGGAAGACGTTAGTAACAAAATGTGCATAAATGCTCTTCTTTTTAAACTATTTGGAGTGTAGATATGCTTTGTCTTTCCAGATATATCCTGAATTAAGTCTCCAAATGGAAACAGAACTTATTCAGTTCACGATAACAGCTACCAATTTTTAAAGAAAATTTTATAAAAACAATTGAGCATCCTTCCCAATATAATCACCACATCTTCCACTTTAACCTATTGTTTAAATCACATGTTGCTGGATATCTTCTAAGATGGCAAGAGACTGGAGTTTTAGTTAAGTAATTATCTGTAATTTGTATAAACTATGTCTTTATAAAACTTCTAATTATAACAACTAGCTTTCCTGTGGAGTTGAGGCATGAAGTGTGCATTCAAGCAATTAGAAAGACATTATCAAGTGACTTCCACCTTCTTTTGGAAGCTGAAAGATATAGATAATAAAGTTTCTGACATTTTACATAAAAATAAAGCATGAGTGTTATGTTAAGATAATTATATCTTTGTCCATATTTTTCAGCTTGGAGTTTATCCTTTCTCTAGCACATAACAAACAAAACTGGATTAGTTTACAAACTGTGCAGAACCGAGGCAGCTGAGAAGCATCTGGATAAACCGATCTCAGCAGAGTGTTCAGCAGAGGAATGATTGATGGAAGCCTAATCATTTCTTTTATGCAGGTCAAATATTCACAACCCTAAAAAGTCTGCATATCTCAAGCATTTTGCAGTTTTTACAGCTTTCTGATCATCTACTTTTTTTTCCTCCTTAACATAAAATGTTTCCAGGACCCAACAGCTGGTGCTTGCTGGCTGAAGGAATGAACAGGAAGACAATGTGTTCACAGGATTATGGAACAGTCTGAGAGGAGAATTTATGCAGAGTTTTATAAGCTTAGTCAGGCAGAAAATAGATTGGGGTGCACAGAGGAAATAATGTGTCATTCAAAGCTCAGCTTACAGACACAGCCTTCATAACATAGAAGCAACCATGGGCTGTTCTTGCTCCTGCAACTTCAACTGTTACCTTGAAGTTTGGGTGAAATAGCAGAAACAGGCTGCACTGAGGTCTTACTCTTCAATAGCTTTTATTGTTTGCCTGTCAAAATCAAACCACAACCCCCGACCCTTCACCCACCTTACCCCCACCCTCCCACATGCTCACGACTTAGAAACTTTCAGTAATGGCCAACACTCAAGCACTGTGATAACTGAGAAGTGCTAAAGAGAAATGGTTCATCCATAAGAATGAAGAGCATCCTCTAATCAACATGACTGACCCTTGAAGCCTTTTTGAAAAAAGCTCTGATTTCCAGCAAGCTCTCTGGGCATTCATAACGTCACCTTCCTTTAATGAGCTCCCATATGTCACTTGTAATTCATCTAAGTGCTCTAAAATCCCCTAGGTTGTAAAGTGTATTTCATGCTCCTAATTTGAACCATAACAGAACACGTCTAGTTAGTTGGTTGGAAATGACAATCATGTTTCTTTAACATCATATTTTTGAATGGTTTAGCTGAGTTTCTGTCATCAAGAACCTTAATTTGATTCATTTGTTTCTTGTTTCTGTTGATTATCTTGATTCTGTTTTATAAGCAAAATTATTGTCCTAAGTGCTTCTCAGCAAATGGCCTGACTAGTGCTGTCTTGGGTTGTGCTTCTAGACACACCATTATGACAGTATATTCAAGGTAACTATTTCATTGGTTCTCTCAAGGCTCAAAAATACCTGTCATTCCTTCTAAATGGTAATTAATTTCCAGAAAAATAAATGGAAAAAAGGTAAAAGGGAAGAAGTTGGGAGAAAATGTTTAAAGGGTAATTACTGCATATTCTCCTTAAGCAGAAAATGACTCAAGTTCCCAGCATAGTCAGTTTGTATTGACTTGATAGGTCCTGATAAATTCCAAGTTAGGATGTGCTTTCTCTAAAGTGCAGCTTTTATTTAACAGTGTCATTGTTATTTAGTTAGACAGCCACTCTTTTTACACTTGCCCCTGCCATGGAAGAAACAGAAATGCCTAAACTAGTTAGTGTTCACAAAATGAGCAAGCAACCAACACATCTATGGTTCATGTATTGCTAGGAGGCAGTGAGGAATCTCATATTACTGAGTTTGCTGCAAAAGTGTCCTCAGTAGGACCTGCCCAAGCAGCATGTTTAAATATTTGTAGCAGATTAACATGGGCCACTCACAGTGGTCAATCACATCTATCCATAGCAAATATGTGTATATGTGTTCTTTTTTGAAACAAACAAAGCTCAGAGAAGATAAATTCATAAAACCTTTGGTGACATGTTGAGTGTTTTCAGATGATATTTAGCCTTAACACTTTTCTGCCATTCCTTAGCAATGCAAGTCTAAATTTTATTTTCCATCTGAATCTGTAAAAACAGAATGGAAGTTCATGTTGTCATATAAAAATAACTTTTTCCAACTTAATTGTCTTTGTGGAAGTTTAAGGTACACAGTTATAACACTAATACATCAGACTTCCTAAGAGTAACATTAGCTCTTATTTAAATTGAATGCTGACTTGGCATTAAAAGTCTATCACTGAAGTTTTAGTTTTTCTATTTTATTTTACTTTCATTTTATTTTATTTTATTTTATTTTATTTTATTTTATTTTATTTTATTTTATTTTTGAGACAGGGTCTCACTCTGTCACCCAGGCTGGAGTACAGTGGTGCGATCTCAGCTGGTTGCAACCTCCGCCTCCCAAGTTCAAGCGATTCTCCTGCTTCAGCCTCCTGGGTAGCTGGGACTACAGGCACAAACCACCACCTCCAGCTAATTTTTGAATTCTTAGTAGAGTCAGGGTTTCATCATCTTGGCAAGGCTGGTGTCAAACATCTGGCCTCACGTGATCCGCCTGCCTTGGCCTCACAAAGTGCTGGGATTACAGGTGTGAGCCACTGTGCCCAGCCTAGTTTTTCTACTTACTCATTTTCCTTTCATTTTCTAAGGCATTCAAAGTCAGACCATTTTTCTTTTAAAGATAGAGTGGCACCTTCTCCATGATGGTTTAGTTGAAAGTGAACTATTTATTGGCGTCTTTCCCTTAGCAGAACTGAAGGACAAAACAGAAAAGGTTATGGTGACCTCGAGGTCATCCTGATAATGAAATACTAGACAAATATTGAACCCTGTATTGTTTAATAATGGTGACACCTATCTACAGGTAGGTGGTATAGACTAACAAAGGTGCTCTTAAAATTCTTTAATGTGGGTTGATGTAGCATCAGGTATTAAAAATGACCTACAGTTAATATAAGACAAGATGTTAATCAAAACTTCTTAAAGAGGAGATGTACTAATTAAGTTTTCCAACAACACAGAATGATGCCAGAGCTTTCCTCTGCTAGGATACAGAAGTATGTAAAATTTATGTATCTTTGTTGTGAGCCACAGACACTAACTCACTCTAGATTGATTAAGCAGAGAACTAATTTGTTGTAAATTTATTGGGAGTTCATGGTATCACCAAGAGAACTATAAAGAACCAAGTTTTAAAATGTGCAGGAGCAAATGAAGTTTGGTAACAGATAAGATTGCCTTCAGCTTCAAACTACAAGTCCAGTCCTGTTAGAACACTGCTGTTGCTGCCCATGAGTGTCGGATACCCAACTTACACTACTGCTGCTGTTGCCACCCCAGACCAGATACTGCAGCTACCATTGCCTATGAACTGAATATTGGTATCAATAATCCCTGACTCAAAGTCCAGGAAATCAGCTGAGTCTAGGTCATGTTCCTGTGCCCTACTTACAAAGGAGGCTGGGAAACCAAGTATCTGGCATTTTCAACTTCTTTAGAATATGGTCAGTAGAAAATGGATTATGTCTGCCACCAGAGGTCATAAGATACATGATTCCCTAAAAGCCTCCTAAGGAGGCTCAGATGTTGAATAGACCAAAAAAAAAAAAAAAGAAAAGAAAAAAAAGAAAAAATGCTAAGTGGCTAGTATTTTCTCTCAGGGCAAAACAAGTCTTAAGTGACTCTAATTTCTCATCTGGCACCTGCTGTTTTCCCTGCCTGGCACATCTTTTCTCCTTTCTCTGGTGACAACCCCAATTTTCGGGGAGACCTGCATCTCTCATACTTCAAATGTGACTCCAAGGTGACCTGCCAGTCTAACTGTTCTCCTGCCTCCTGGCACGTGATCCCAGTTGGAATTGTCCTAGTCCCAATCTTGCAGCCATAGTGGTTGACCTAGAGATGTTTATTTGATCTTGCCGGAACCCATCCACATTTCCCCTCAGGATTTTCTTCAGTAAAACTGGTAGGGAAGCATTTTCTTTCTTCTTTAGGTATGAGGTAGTAAGAATGACACCTAGAGTTACCTAAAGCTCTGGTTGCAGACTCACAGAGACAACCGGTCAGAGAGAATAAAACCAGTGTATAAGAATACATAAAGAAGAGAGTTGTGGAAAGAGAGAACCTAATGGCATTTCAGTTTCTAGGTCTAGTCACAATAGCCAGACCATGCATAGTTCAGTTAAAGGAACCAATAAACTCCTTTTCATGCTCAAGCCAGAATGAATTGGATTTATGTCACATCATCACCCTTCTAAGAAATATATTGTCCGTTTTCTGCCAAGACAAAGGAGACCTAAATTAACTTCTTGTGTTTTAGAGACTTCTTGTTCAAATAATTCTAAGGGAAATGTAAACTTTTATTTTTCCTAGATAGCCAGTACAGTTGAGTAGGAGATTAGCTGGGATTTAGGAGTCCTAGTTGTTCCTTCCAGCTCGAGCATGTCACTGGACGTTTCTAAGATTTATGTACTCCATTTGGATCATGGGTTGAGTTAGGTGGTTTTAGAGATGCCTTCCAGTGCTAACTTTCTGTGAGTAGAATTTTCCAAATAATTCCTAATTGTGAATGTATTTACTCATTTGAGTTCACGCCTCCTCAGGGTATAGTTCTGTTTCCTTATTAAAGAAAATGAAGGGTGAAACTAAGAAAAGGAATTCTTACTATGCAGCCATCAAAAAGAATGAGATCATATCCTTTGAAGCAACATGGTTGGAGCTAGAGGCCATTATCCTTAGCAAACTAACCCAGGAACAGAAAATCAAATACCGCATGTTCCTACTTATAAGTAGGAGCTAAATGGTGAGAACACATGGACACATAGAGGGGAACAACACACACTGGAGCCTATCAGAGCGTGGAGGGTGGAAAGAGGCAGAGGATCAGGAAAAATAACTAATGGGTACTAGGCTTAATACCTGAGTGACAAAATAATCTGTACAGTAAACCCCCATGACACAAGTTTACCTGCATAACAAACCCGCACCTGTACCCCTGAGCTTAAAATAAAAGTTAAAGAAAAAGGGAAGTCTTTATGAATGAGAGTTATATTTTTTTAATATTTTCATATATATTCCCCCATTTATAATTTTTGTTAAAGTTCTATCTTATAACAATATAATACATCAGCAAATATTTTTATGAAACAGTCATAGCATTTACATAGCAGTAAATTCAGTGCCATCAACCTACAATTTGTCATCTGAAAGTTTTCAGTGTAGTTAAGACAAGAAGTGCACTCAGGTAGAACACTTACAAATCAAGCTCAGGGCAGTGCACAAGTCATTGTGTGAGAAGGTAGGACCAGTTCTGTTTCTAAAAGCTGGGGAATTTCTTCTTTAGCACTGAAAAAATAATAAACAAAAGCTTTTCAAAGGCTCTAAACTCCTAAAGAATGGGCCCCAGCAAGCAACATTAGCTGCAAGTCTACAATCTATTTTGTGTTGAAATTTGAGTTTGGCTTGAAGGGAATATTTAATTCTCTTCAGCATTTTATTTTAAACAGATATTATGACTGTGATTATGCTCATGTTATAGATAACCTTCCATTCTGTTCAGCTTTTAGAAATTCTAAAATATGTTCTTGCTACAATGATTTCAAAGTACAACATTTAAATCACTTCAAGTACAAAACCAGTTATGAAAAAAAAAATTCTTCGGGAACTGTTATTTATGAACACAGGCTGTGGTGGCACCAATTTCTCTATGCAAGAGTGCGGTTGAATATGTAAATTAGTTGGCTAAGATTCTACACTCCAATATAAATGTGCAGAATTTGTTTTAAAATTCTACACCTTTAAAATCTCTAGGATTTTCTAACTTAATTCATGTTTACTAAAGAACAACAGTACACCTTGGTGGGAGGAAAAGACCAAGGCATATGGTGTTGCTTTCTTAAGCCCATCACCAGAAGACTCTGCCAGGCAGTATATGTCATGTGAAAATACCATAGTGTAAAAGTATCTGAATCTGAGCACCTGCTTTCAAATCCTGATTTTGCTAACAAATTACTGTGGTCTTACCTTTTCCAAGCCTCCAATTCCACATCAGTGAAAGCATAAACTTGAGTTTCATAGCCCTTTCCCCTTGCATGGGCTTGTAAAGATTAAATGGCATTACTTAAGGAACATCTGTGAGCCTAGCACAGAGTAGATCCTCAATAAATATTAGTTTTATTTTTCCTTTCTCTGAATTGTAGCTTCCTCATCTGTAAAGTAGGAATTTTTTAAATGCTGCCAGAAAAAAAAAAATGCACAGGAAGTTCCAACATTACACAGAGAAAATAGGCTGACCTCCAAACAGGCCCAGGTGACAATACATTGGGGGTAGGCACCACAGTCAACAGGTCAGCCCACCAGCTTTGAGCTCAGATATTGTAATTGTTAGTCTACACAGAAGGTCTACCATCACTTAAAAAGATACAACTTTCAATATATTGGCTTATTACTGTTCTGCAAGCTCTTACTTTCCCAGTACAAAATATTCTCAGGAATAAACAAACAACATTGAGTCAAAATATTGTTGGGTGAGCATGAAATCAAGGCAAGTTGGCTGAATTATCAGGGGTCAATAACTACTTCTGTAAAGGGACAGATAGTAAATATTTTTGGCTTTATAGACCAGGCAGTTTCTATTACAACTGTGTCTGATCAACTCTTGTAGCAGAAAGGTGTAGACAGCATGTAAACAAATGGCAATGGTTGTGTTCCACAAAAAACCTTATTTACAAAAGCAGGATGGTGGGCTGGATTTGGTCCCACTGGCCTTAGTTTGTAGGCCTCTGTGTTCGATGATTAGAGTCATCGAGATAAGTATGTGGAGTACACCTACCTTCACTGCAGATCTAATTAGCTGCAGAATTAGATCTGCAGATGGATTTCATACCTGGGTTCTAAAGCTAGTGAACCCATCCCTTAAATGGGGTAGGAATTCCTCCGCTACCAATGTTTGTTTCTCAGCATCTCATATTTCCATTGCTAGCTAACAGTCCTTCTGATTGACAAGTTCTCTTCATAAATACAAATAACTTCAATTATATTCCAGGTTTGGCCTTAGCCTGGAGGTCATTCTTCCTGTTTAAGGTATAGCTTTGTATAGCTATCCATGTGTATAGCTTGTTGTATGAAATGTATACAGCTATGCTTAAATTCTTTTTTTGTTTCATAGCTTAACTCTGAAAACACAACCTTGTTTTATTTTCTACTTTAATATTTTGTGGGAGATAGGGGTGCTCACCACCACCCTATGCTATTTACAAGTAATACTCATGAAAATACAGCAAAAGCTTTTACAAAAGTAAGTGGTACTCAGTATATCAAACAACAAAAAACCTTCCTGGGAGGGAAAAATTTTTAAATTAAAAAAAAATAGTTATCTGCTGGGCGGGGTGGCTCACGCCTGTAATGCCAACACTGTGGGAGTCCGAGGCGGACTGATCACTTGAGGTCAGGAGTTCAAGACCAGCCTGGCCAACATGGTGAAATCCCATCTCTACTAAAAATACAAAAAAATTAGCTGGGCGTGGTGGTAGGCATCTGTAATCCCAGCTACTTGGGAGGTTGAGTCAGGAGAAGCACTTGAACCCAGAGGCGGAGGTTTCAGTGAGCCAAGATCACACCACTGATTTCCAGCCTGGGCAACAAGAGCGAAACTCCATCTCAAAAAAAAAAAAAAAAAAACCGTTATCACAAACATTGAACATATATTAAATTAGCCCCCCACTTAAAGTGAAGAATTGTGTTTGTGTACATGCTCAGTTTGTGTACATGTTTGTATACATGTTCGTGTACATGTTCAGTATTATCAGCCTCTGTTATTTCTATGTGGGGGTGTTTAGAAGTACAGCGAAGTGGGGGGAATTTTGCTGAAGAAAGTAAAATGAATACATCTGAGACGAAGGAAAGGCGATGGACCAGCCAGCCTAGACCAAACTGTCCTGTGGTAGGTCCCAGCTGCCCATCTGGGCTCATGCTCCTTAACGTGCTATCAAACATACATTGCCTTCTCAGTTTCTCCCCACCTGCTCACCCACAATCTTTTTTTTGATTTCTTATTCAGCTTACATTGTGTGACTATTTGGAAATATATATACATCCTAGAGGATTTTGAATCCAGACATGGAAGAGAGAGTAGGAATGTAGAAAGGGGAAAGGAACAAATCTGTAGTTAGCATTTGCTGTAGGTTTTCAATATTTTATTTATTTTATTAATTTCACTCTTCTACCCAACTCTGTGAAGTTATTCTCATTTTATAGATGATGAACTAAATTTCAAAAAAGTTAATTAGTTTTCCCAGAGTTGCATGGCTCAAACCAGATGCTAAACCACACATTCCTGCTTCCCAAGTCCCTGCTCACGTAGTCAGCACAGTGAAAATCAGTGGCTTTCACTGTGCTTCCAGGTGCCCTGAAATAAGACCCTCCAACAATCTGGCCCTGGTGAAAAGCCTACTTTTTCCACTCTTCCTAGCTTACTTAAATGCTTAATCCTATGATGATCTGTGGATTTCCCTGTGGCCATTTTTGCTGGACACCTTTCTGTACCATCTGATAAATCTTGTAAAGAAGGGAAAGACAAAGAGAATCATTCCAAGGGTACTTTTACCTTAAGCCCTTAGTTATGGAATAAAACTGATCTCTCCTGGTAAAGAATCCTCAGAGTTCAATTAGCGGTTGAGAGAGTAATTTTTAGAGCACAGCACGGAAGTTTTACCATGTAATCGTGCTCTGTCCTAGAGCAAACTATCTTTGCCATCCATTATATTTATAAAGCTTAGTACTGCTGAAAAGTTCACCCTGGAGAAGGTCATCTTAATGGTTGAAACATTAAGGTGAGGTTTGCTAACACAAACTATTGTCTCTATATCCTTTGTTCATTCTATTTTAGTCCTTCCTCAGACTCTTTATAGGATTAAAGTGACATATAAACATACATTTTGCGAAACTTTTGACAAATCAGGGAACCTCCCTGAGCTTCAGTTTCCCTACCATAAAATGGAGGATTTGGACTAAATTATCTCTAAAATCCTTTCCAACTCCCACATTCTGGATTTGTTTTAGCCTGAGATACACATTGTTAGGCTCTGTAGTTTGGCCTAGATTTAATTCCAGATTCCAGGCACGGAGTGAGTTACTTCCTGTTATTAACGGGTTTCTTAAATGGACATACCATTGTGTAGATGAAATTTTATTTTTAACCCAGTACCCAACCTTGTAGATTGCACTGTGGAAGCATACGTTTTTGTGCATTTGTGTTCAAACCAATTTAACTTTCATTTTTAAGGAGAGTTGGAAGCATCCCAGTTCATTGAACTATGAGAAAATACAGAATGAACAAAGTTGTTGATGTTGGATGTGTTCTGTTGCTTTGTTCCTGTCAAAACTTGAGCAGGCTCAACCAAGAGGCATGCTGAGATCTCATTAACAGGGTGGGATATATATGTATCAGGGGAGAGAGGTAAGAAATGGGGACAAACAGGAGAGGAGGAAGGAAACTATTAAATATAATCTTAATATTATGGATGTAAAGATAAACAATACATTTTAGAATTTTCACCTAGCATCTTTGTCTAAGCTATTCTCCCTCTCCGCCATAGAGTTCCTTTATAACTCATACTCAGTTTCCTCTATTAACATCTAACATTAAAATGGTACATTTTATTACAATACAATTAATAAACTACTATTGACACATTATGATTAACTAAAGTCCATATTCTATTCAGATTTTCTTAATTTTTACTTAATGCCCTTTTGCTATTCCAGAATCCCATCTAGGATTTACATTATATTTAATATCATGTATCCTTAAGTTGCTGTTGGCTATGACAATTAAGACCCTATATTTTTAACAATCACTTCCTTTTTGTCTCAGTGTCTTCACTTGCTTATTTTATTTTATTTATGTAAGCTGTCTTAAATTCTTCCTCTACTTAGAAGAGCACTAATTATTTACTCTTTTGTTTAGGAAATGTTCTGGAAATCCCTAGTTTCCATACAACCTGCCAAGTTTTTTTTTTTTTTTAATTTTCTGAAAATTTGCAAATGAGGAGGGCAATCCTATCCAGAGGCCAATAAGAATTTATGATTATTGAAGCAAGACTTTCCTTGGATGGCAAAAGGAGAATAATCTTTATTAGTGAGTCAGTCAGTTGAAAGTCTTAAATCTTACACACTTGAAAAATAACCTAGTGAAGTTTCAAAAGAGGTAGGCACATTAGTTGAATGCTTATAGGTACACAAATAAATAGGTAAGAATGATTAAGCACATTAGTATTTAAAAACATTAACACTTCAGCTACTAGCATTAGTCTTCAAATATCTTTCTATATGTTTCAATATGTTTCTCCCAACCCAGAAATTCTCTCCACAAATGCAGTAGAGAAAGAAACACCTTTATTGTTGAATAAGCATTAAACCAGACTGTCATGTGCATTACAGCCACTCCACTAAGAAAGTGCACAGAAAGAAAAAAAAAATCACACCCTTTTATATAGCCAAGCAAATATACCCAATTACACACATATTTTCAAGATGAACAATAACTAGTCCTCAAGTAAGAGGACTTGACAGCACCATTGGGCATAAAGTCTATCTTAACTTTACCTGGTAATTGAGGTGACCATCTATGTTAGCTAACTGGGTGTATCCAGAGGAGAGAGGAAGCGGGTGGGGTTGGGGTGGGGGGAACACCCTATGACGGGAGGGAGGTTTATAACTTGGAGCATGGCGCAAGCTGATGTTAGGCTCCTGCCTTCCCATGGAAAATTGTAGGATGGGGGCACCTTCCCCTTTGATATTTACATTTCAAAGAGATGACTCTCAGGTCTTTGAGAAAGACATTCCTCAATAATAAAGCTGACAGAAGGCTTATTTACTGTCTAGAAAGATACATTTCAAAAAGACAGAGAAGGTACTTTATATACAGGTTTTCTACAGTACACGTTCTGACAAAAAGGGAGGAAAGGAAAATAGCTCTTATTTTAAGCAGGAGGAATTAAGCCTCCTGTTTTTCATTCCTTTACATCCTTACACTAGGCAAAGATTTCTTTTTTCATTCATGCAAAAGTGTTCACTGAGCAGAGGACCACACACCATGTGCCAGACTCTATGCTAGACACTATGAATACAAATATTTAGTGAGATGCAAAAAATCCAATCCCACACTCCAAAAGCTCACCATCTAGGAATCCAGACTCTATGAGCCACAATATCACCTTAGTTCTCTTACAGGTCCCCAGAAGTCCCTCCTGCAAAGAGATGAGAATTCTGAATAACTCAGACCAAGATTTCAGACTGCACCAGGCACTGAAAGTTCTTGATTGGTTCAGAGAAAGGCACCATATGAATATTCCTGCATGTTGAAGTTATTTTCTACTATTAATAAGTAGCATTCATTGAGTGGTGTTCCTGTCCCATGCACTGCATTGCTGAGTCTCACAACAGCCCTGTGAGGTAGGTGTTATTTCTATCCCCATTTTATAGATGAGTCTGGGCAGATGGATAACTCGCCTCTGGACACAGAGCTAGTAAATGGGGAGCTGTGATGTGAACACGGGTGAATCTGACTCCACAGTCTGACTACACTGCAGCCACTACATATGAATTTAGATTTGGAAGAAAAGGCCGTCACCACTGGCTGAGCTCTTTATCTTATAGAATTATGTACAAGCTCAGTAAAAAAAGACTACCTCAAATAAGAATTATTCCCCATGTTTACAATGCACTTAACCGTCTTCAAATCAGTTGTTTTGCATAGTTTCATTTGATGTTCACAACAACCTTGGGAGACACATAGTGCAGGTATTTTAAACCCAGGTTAGGCATTGAAAACCTCAGACTCACAATTTAAATAACTTGTCCACCATCAAACAGCTAGTGAGTGGAAGAGCTGGGACTCCATTCCAGAGCTCATAACAAGTGGTTACTTGTGGCATGAAATTGGAAAATCCCAACCTGGAGACAGATACGCTGTATATGGATTCCTAACAGAGCTCTAGAGGTTCCAGGATTCACCTATATTCTACTGCTCTGTCCCAGAAGAAAAGCCAGAGTAAATGTTAGTCCTGCCAAATCTGGTGCACTGTGCAATACTCACTTAAGTATGCCTTTGTTTTCCTTCATGTGACTTGTAAATAAAATTCCATTTGCTTCTATTCCCTGTGGCTAAAGAGTAATATTTAAGCCTTTCAAGTTTATTTCTACTGTGCTTCCTGGAGAATTTTGTATACTACTTACCCCAAAATGGGCACTGTTCTGCAGTTTTTATTCAGGTAAAATTAATGGAGTTTCCCCCTGAGTGAGGAATGTTTAATCAATCCTATTGTTTGATTTCAATGGGTTATTACGGGTGGGAGAATTGTTATACCAGAGGCAATTTAGAAAATCAGGTACAATTGACTCAAGTCAATTTACATACTGCAGTCCCAACAGCAAAAAGTCATGGTGTTTCATGCCTGAGATAGTGTAATCATTAAATGAGACCACCTGGGCAAGTAACTAAACCCAAGAGAGAATAAAAGAACAGAGATAGAGAGAGACAGAGAAAGAGAAGGGGAGGGGAGAGCAGTAGAGAGGTTGGTTTAAACACAGGCACATTCAGAATTGCAGCCAATCAAAAAAGGGAAAAATAATTTTCGAAGTATCTATCTCTAGTATTTTCCAAAAGATATTCACCATCAGAATCATCTAATGATGAATCCTTTTATAGAATCTCATGTGGCTAGCCTTGCATTTAATATTTGTATGTACTGCGGTTGGATGTTCTTCTGATAAAGCTGGAAGAATTCCCCTTTCTGAGATGTGGGAATGATTGGAAAGCTCTGAGTGGAGCAGCGGAAATAGGGATTCTAGTCTGAACCCAGCCATTAACTTTCCTCATGTCTTGGGCAAGTCAGCTAATTCTTAGGCCTGTGTTTCCTCCTCTTTATGAGACTTTGGATCATATATTTTCCAAAGCCTTCTCCAGCAATAAAGTTTGGTGTTTCTAACTCTGTCACACATTCTTGGAAAAGGGATGCACTGTGGGAAAACACTGATATGATTACTGCCAAATTATGTGTCATGTCTATGGACTATACCCAGTGAGCCAAATGAGAAAAGAAGGTCAAGGGAGAACAGAGGGAAAGAGTACAGCTGCCCATCCCAGCATACAAACGCATCTCCATTAGGAAAGGATAAGTACATGCATGAGCACTACAGATGGTGGGTGATTAGTACCATTTTTGCAGTGAAAGATAATGTAGCCCACATTTCAATAATATGAAGTGTATCTGCTGGTCTGAGAGTCCCGTACAGAGAGGTTTCCCTAGTGCACATGGGGAAGGGACAAGAAGGCCGGCTGGAAGGGAAGACGCCAAGATATTTGTACAAACCAGCTAGGTTTATAGATATTGTCTCAGTATCTTCACTGCAACCCTAAGAAGTCATTAATATAAGCTCTATTTGCAGGAACTTGAACTTGGAAAGATTAAGCAATTTAGCCAAGGAAAAATATAAAACCCTGGTGAGGGCCAGAGCCGGGATGCAAACCTTGTCTGAACTATACAAGTTCTTCCCAGCAGAGCACATTGAATATGCAGAAAATGTCACATCCTTTTAATCATATTTTTTTTTTCTAGCACCAATTTCTCACCTCTATTTATGCATCTTTTCAGAGCATGACCCACAGGTACAGAACATTGCCTGCAGTCCTTGGGGGCAAGGGAGGGAGAGGCATTAATTTTTGTCTCCATTTCCTTCCCTCATAATTATTTTTGCTCCATGACTGCCCATTTCATCCATTTCAGCTTATTAAAAACAAGGCCTCTCTGTTTTTGTATAATACTCTTTATATTTATTGTTGGAAGTGAAATATCTTTAACGGCTCATAGGCAGGCTGGTGTCAGTGCTGAGAGCTGTGTCAGCATGAAGACAGCAATGCCACACCATGAAAAGCAATTGCAGTTTTGAGAAGCTGCAGCTATTTGCAATCCTCGTTTCAAAAAGATCACTTTCAGAATGTGGCGTTGGGTGGAAATGGATGCAGTCATCATTTTTAGGGGCTTTGTTGAGCTGTAGCAGCTGGGAACTCTCTTTTCTCATCTCCTACAACCCACAGACCCTCACGCAAAACAGGAGGTAAAAATGCTGTTGTCCTTAAAATAAAACTCGGCTGTGTGGCTACATATTTTAAGAAATTTTTTATGGAAAAAAAGCTTTTTATAATGAAAAAAAAGATTACAGGAGTTCAAATAAAACCTAACCAGACATGAAAAATATGTGATTATCCTTAATAAATATAAAAGAATCAAAATCTGTAGATAAGACCAATAGGTAGTCTTCCATTTAGTAAAATGCCCCATTTTTTGACTGTCCAATTCTACCATCCTTCTGCCCTTGCTCAAATGCCAGCACGTCCAGGAAGCCGTGTCCCATTTATCCTATGAGGCATTTTTTGTTCTTTCACCTAACTCCTAATATGTTTTTATCTGAGTACTTTTGTCAGGTGTCTCTTTCCTATTTGTACTCTGATTATTTGTGCATGAATTTTGTCTTCACTACAGTCTCCTTCAAGAAGAAATTCACACTTTCATTAATTTATATATACAACATTCCAGTCACTGATGGACCACGTATTTATTGGTGGTCCCTTAAGATTATAATAGAGCTGAAAATTTTCTCTCTCCTAATGTCATAGTCACCATTATGTCATAGTGCAACACATTCCCTTCTCTATGGTTATATATGTTTAGATACACAAATATTCTGTTACAATTGACTACAGTATTCAATACAGTAACGTGCTGTACACGTTGTGACCTAGGAGCTATAGGCTATACCGCATAGCCGAGTTGTGTAGTGGGCTATGCTATCTAGGTTTGTATAAGCACACTCTATGATGTTCACACAACAACAGAATTGCCTAACAATGCGTTTCTCAGAATAAATCGCTGTCATTAAGTGACACATGACTATATTCATTAAACAAATGTGATTTGACAGTCTACTAGGTGCCAAGGACCTTTCAGGCATTAGTAATATAATACTAGTAAGTATTTATATGGTTTATTTCCTGGCTCTGCATCAAAGACCCATCAACAAGTCACCACATGAAATCTTACTGTCACCCTTGAGTTCCACATTCAATTCTACCAAGATGGTCATCAAGTCTCTCTCATCAATTTAACCATTCCCCCTATTTCCACGTCCATTTTACCAAAGTCTTAAGTACGTTCACTCCTTGATGTCCCACCATTATATCAGACTCAGCCATCTACCTGTTCCTTACATTCTTCATTCCACTGAGAGATGAATCATCCTCAGAACTCCACCACTACATATGAATAAGAACCATATGAATGAATCTAAGGTCCTCAAGGATCTTAGATTTAAGTATGGAAAATAGACATGTAAACATGTATATAAATTGCAATCTAGAGTATACAGGATACATATTGGATTCATTTTTATAACCTTTTAAGTATCTTAGCACCTTGTTGAATTAATAAAGGTGGATTCCACTCTCTAACAACAATAAAGGTCCTACAGAAAAACAATGGATAAAAACTGGTGGAGAAATAAAAAAAACAATGATGACATATGGATTCTTGGGAGAACCGTGACTCTTGACAGCCCAGATCAATTATTCCTGCTAACCTTAGCCCTAAATCTTTCTCTATTGGCTCTGTTTCCTTTATGCATGGTATATTTTAAGCAGTAAGGGCAATCCTAGAGAGGCAGCCAGATGGAGTACAAAAACATAGCTTTCAAGTTAGGAGACTTGGTATGTACACAAAAAAGATAATATCAGTCTGTCTGTGGTAAGTGTTGATTGAGGACGCAGGTATTAAATGCTACAGTAAACAATAAGTCTGAGCTTCTTCAGAAGAAAGTTTATTTGATAGGTATACTTACTAGTGAATGAGAAAAGAATAAAGATATCTGTAAAAAAAAAAAAAAAAAAAAAAAAAAAAAAAAGCCCAAGTGTGGCCCATGTGATCCAAAGGCACTAAGACAAATCATGGAACATCTGCTGTTTCTGAGATTTCATGGTTGAGGGTTGCATTCCTGACAGGTAGTATATTGATGCTAAATAATAAAATGTCATCTACATCCTTTCATAGATTTCCTGTTAGCTAGTTCTTTCTCGTTGGCATTTTTTCTTCCTTAGGCTCCATGATCCCACACTGTTCTCTTCCCATTTTCTTGACTGATCAATTTATCTTTGTAGATCATCCATTTTCAACCATCAAATGTCAGTATTTCCCATGGTTCAGTTCCTGGCTCTGCATCAAAGAATTGCCATTGAGTCACCACCTGAAATCGTGCTGTCACCCTTGAATTCCACATTCAATTCTACCAAGGTGGTCATCAAATGTCTTTCATCAATTTAACCATTCCCCTGATCTCCACATCCATTTTACCGAAGTCTTAAGTACATTTTCTCCTGGATGTCCCACCATTATATCAGACTCAGCCACCTACCTGTTCCTTACACTCTTCATTCCACTGAGAGATGAATCATCCTCAGCTCTCCACCACTACCGTACATTCCAGGACTTATAACCCTCTCCTCACCAAAGAGGTTTTCTCATCAAATTCCATCATCATTCTCCTTGCCTCCTCAGTTTACAGTCTCAGGCATATTTGAACCCTCCCTCTTCCTGTCTCCATGCCTAGTCACTGGTGTTAATTATTCTGAAAGTCTTCTTTTGTAATGTCTCTGGCACTAGGAACAATTTAAAATAATTTTTTTTAGTGCAAGTAGCTAGGCACAAAAAAAAGTGTACACTGCTACCCAATTTTTCCCATTGCCACCTGCTTTATCTAGCCCTTGTCACCTCATGTGTGGTGCCTTGAGTAGGTTATCATTTTTTAAATTTCTAATCTCTAGCCCCTCCTAACCAATCAGCACTTTTTAGTCTGATTCCTTTTCTTAAAAATACGTATTTAATAATCTCAACCTTCCAACAGTTACTCAATAGCTTGACACTGTCCAATAGAAATATAATGCAAGTCGCAAATATGAACCGT
This sequence comes from Homo sapiens, assembly GCF_000001405.40. Lineage (NCBI taxonomy): Eukaryota > Metazoa > Chordata > Mammalia > Primates > Hominidae > Homo > Homo sapiens. Next base: position 50,365 of record NW_013171804.1, on the reverse strand, counting down.
GTATATAATTTAAATTTTCTAGTAGTCATATTATAAAATGTAACAATAAATATGTGAAGTTAGTGTTAATAATATTGTTATATTTACCCAATATAGCTAAAACATTCTCATTTTAATAGATAATAATGACTAATATGAATGAGATATTTCATATTATTTTTCATACTGAATCTTCACAATTGTACATCTCAATTCTTACTAGCCACAGTTGAAGTGCTCTGTAGCCATATGTGACTAGTGGCTACCATATTGGACAACGCAGCTCTACAAAATACTCTATGCCCCCCATTTTCATTCCTTGCTTATGCTTCTACTTTTTTTTATCTGTTCTCCTTCGATCGTAATTAAATACTAATAATATGTAAGGCTCTCTCACTTAAATTCTAACTCGCCTGGGCAAACTTCCCCAGTCATCACAAGACTATGATTTCATCTCATGAGACGCATTAGCTGTACCACTCAGCTGGCATTTCCCATGTGCTACTTTCTGTAATTAATGCATGAGAACTGCACCCTAGCCAGACTGCCAATATCTTGAAGACTAATTCTTCTCTCTGTACCTCATATCACTTAGCATAATGTCTTTCATAGAGAAGACAGAGTAAATATTTGTTGATGGAGTAATGAGAAAATGGAGTTACTATAGGATTAAATAAATAGACTTTATTAATCAAGTCTTACATATCAATTACTATGATACCACACTGTACTGTCACAAATTTAATTGTTAGTTTAGGTTTCTGGGTTTTAGTAAAGATTTATTTTCCAAAATGTAATACATTCCTGTTTTAGAAGGATAAATGAAATATCAGAAATGTAAAAGTAACACAAACTAAATAGAAAGTCAGGTGACCTGCTATAATTTTAGTTCTGCAATTTATATATGGAGTGGTGAGAATATTGATAGCTGAAATATAGTGAATATGGTGAGCATAATAGTATTACGGAAGACATAATTTAGTGAGCTTCAACAAATATTGTCTGAATTTCTTATCAGTATGGAAGAATTCTCAGAAACATATTTAGAAGTTTTGATAAAAGAACGTGTTGGAAAAAGTGATTTGATAAGGGATAACCAACATCAGTTTGTGATAGGGAGGTTTTGTGCAGTTACTCTGTGGATGTGTTGAAAGGCTGTGGCAAATGCTTTGTCAGGGAATGGTAAATGCAATGGTGGGGTATATGTTTACTTACACAAGGAGCCCTTGATGAGATTTCACTCAGAGAATTACAGATTAAAGAAATGAGTCCTTGTGTACAGGCTAAAAAAACTAAATGTGGCTAATATGTTTTTCATCACAGGGGATTCTTTTATGTTACCACCACTTTATATGACAAGAACTGTTAGTAGACCAAATGGCAGTTAGTTTGAAGGGCATGATTCAATAACATAAAAATTTAGGATAAGTTTGACAAAGCAGATCTTATGTAAAATGTAAAATAAATGAAATCTGTACTTAGAGATAACAAACTTCACCATCACTAAACACCCTATTCTCCCTTTAAGCCTGAGTGTTCCCCATTACAACCCATAACACCTCAATGATATGTGATAGGACTTTTCAAATGTACTCTGATTTTATTAAGACCTCTTGATAGATAGGTCCTGAAGATTTTTATGATACAAATATGCAGTACAATAACTGGAATTAGGGAAATTAATTTGGTTGAAAGCCCCACATCAACACTTAATATTATACTATACTCTTCCTGTTAATAATATTGATGCTAAAATCCAAAATTTATATTTATGAGAGTAATTTAGAAAAAGAAAGATTCTTAAACTCAATCAGTATTTTTAGAAACTTCCATTATCACTACAAACGAAATTACAGTGTTTGTATAGTGTACATGTGCATTTTCCATGGTAACAGCTATTGTCAAATGGATAAAAGCTGAACATGCAGATATATACATTGTATATCTATCTATTCTTCTTAAAATTAAGATTATTGCTAATTTAAATGCAGGCAGAGAGCCTTGTGGGGGAACAAATTCTTTCTTGGTTTATCGTTACATTTGGAAAATCCACCTGGAAAAACAGAGAGGGAAGGTAGTAAATGAGCTGGACAAAATTCAGAATGTATGCCAGATGTCATGCAAGAAAGCTGAAGTACAATCTGAAATAGTAATGGGCGGAACACCAGACATAGCAGGTGCCAGAGCCAAGGATAGAGAGGGGAGTATCCAGTGAAGGAGAAAAGCCATAACTGGGAGAAAGAAATCAGCACTCAAGCAGAAGGCTCAAACAGACAAAAGTAAGTTTAAGAGATGAAGCTCTGGCTGGGGAGATTCCTTCCTGGAATGTGAATTGAAACTTGCTTTCTTTGGCTGATAAGGCTAAAATGTCGGAGTAGGAGAGTCCAGCTTAGAGAAAAGAGGTTTGGAGAATGGGGTCGGTAGAGAATGAGAAAGCTATAAAGGTGTTTGTTAATCATAGTTCTTATGAAAATAAAGCAGTTTGAATTTCAGAGATCTAATCCCTACATAAAGCTACTGAATCTTGTAAATGCTTCTTCAGCATTAATGTCGATGCAGAAAACTGGCAAATACCTTTAAAAAGAAATAGAAACAAAAAAAATCAAGAGCAGGAATGAACTTCGGGCTTAAAAGATGAAAAAACATTACTATTATAGGCAGCAACAAAACATACAGAAAATAAAACTGAACAAACCCTGGACAGGAAACCAGACTCCATGACTACCTTGCTGTGTCACATTTAGACAAAGAAAGACCCAGTTTCTTAAACTGTCTAACAGATAATAGGCTTGATCTTTATTGTCTTCCTCATTATTATCATGGTAGCTCTCTGTTACCTTACTATGGTCAACTTACCATGACTTACAAAGCCTTACATAATCTAACATCTGGCCTACACCTCCTCTCTTACCTGTCTTAAACCAGGCTTTTCATGCCTCAACATGCTGCAGCCACACTGGACACATTTGTGTTCTTCAAGCACTAAAGCTGGTCCCTGTGCCAGAGCCTTTACATTTATTGCTTTTTCTAGAGGTCTTTACCCCTTCCTTGTGGCATGGCTGTTCTTTCTTTTGTTAAGATCTCAGCTCAAATTATCAGCCATCTCTATAAGGCCTTCCTGACTATCCTCTGTAGCATTACCCAGTGCTGCCCATTCACTACCACAATACCCTGTTTTATTTTTTTCATGGCACTTAGTTCTCACTGAAATTATCCATCCATCCAACTGTCTTTCTCTTTCTTTCTTTCTTTGTCATTTATTACCTGTTACCCATTAGCATAAAATGTTTATCTGAGCGGACTATAATTTCTAGTGTCTAGAAAAGAACACATGGTAGATGTTCAAATATGTGTGTTGAATAAATAAATGATGAGGTAAATATTAAGTGCTAAATATCCATTACATTTTTTTCTAATCACGCAGTTATGAAAGATAAGTATTATTTTCTTTTTTTAATCTATTTTACTGAAAAGGAGACTGACTTTTTTGAGAGATTGACTTCCCCAAGATCATGTGACTATTAATATGTCCTCAAAGCTCATGCTTTTTCCATTACAATATCTTCCTTACCCGCTCCCAAATTATTGTGAGTGTTACATGAGATAGTGAACAGATTATAAAGCATTATAGTAAAGTAAGATATTTTATTTCAGTTCTCTTCATTGTTGGTGTGGCATACTTCACTAACCACTAGTGAATATTAGCTAGTTTACAATCTTTGAAGCTCCATGGGTTTTCTAGTCTTTTATCAGGGAATAAGAATGTCTAAGTCAAAGTCTAGAGGAGTATACACAGGAATACACATCTGCTCATGAATTCCCTTAAGATTACATTCACAATTTTGCTACTGAGCTCAAAGAAGTCACATTCTATACAATGACATCAACATTAAGACAAAGCATTGGTCAGCTTATCAGAACATAGGAAAGTCTTTCACAAAGATAGTACTGCAGACTGGCTCTTGTCTTAATCTTAGCCATACCAGTAAAGCCTCCCTCTTTAGAAAAAATGTCAAGAAAAACTTAGTCCCACCATCTTGCTCTTTCAGGGTAATAAAGGAAAAATAAAGTCATAAAATAATAAAGCAATGAAAAATGTTTGCACACTTTCAAGGGAAAAAGTAAAATATAACTGATGGACTAGTGAATAAAAATATATCTATGTAAACAATCCAAAAAATTTACAAGGGACTAAACAACGATAAACTGAATGCAACATTGATTCAAATTGGAATGAAAATGGGGTAATAAAAATGAAGCATAAAACTTTACTTAAATTTATTCATCTATTTGTAATCACTTTTGCATCTAGTTGAAGTAAAAAAGCTGTTAAACTTTCCCTTGGTTTTTAGGATGAATCTTGGCATATGTTAATTCTGAAAATGTTAAACTCATTATTGGTCTTTTAAATCAAATCTTTATGTTTATAATCAATATCCTTAATATATAAAAAGTTATTACAAGTAATTATAGAAGACATGTGCTCTAATAGATAAGTAGGCAACAATACATGAAGGAGCATTTCAGAAACTAATAAACACAAATGAAAAAATAAACTTTTCAACAGAACTGGTAACCAAAGAAACACATATTAAAATAATAAAAGATATAATTTTATTTATCAAATTGGCAAAAATTTTAAAATGATAATATCTACTATTAGCTTCAGTGTGGAGAAGTTGGAACTCTCCTATCTTGCTTGTAGGAGTGATAAATGTTATTACCTTTTTGGAGTATAATTTGGCAATAGATATTATAATTTTTGTAATTTAATATGCAAGCTTGACTGCATCCAGCAATTCATCCTAAGGAATTAATCATGATTCATGCAAATATATAGCCTGAAGGATGTTTATCACAAGGCTGTTTATACAGGAAAAAAAAAAAACAAACAAAAAAAAACAAAGAATCGACAATAGCCTTTTCGACAGGTCTAACAAATTATGTTTCATCCATAAAATTAAAATTTAAAATAACTATGCACTAACTAAACAAATTGTAGGAAAACATTCACATTATTTAAAAATACTCATGGAAGAGTAAGTAAAAAAGAGAACATAGCACTATTAATGAACTTATAAAATATATATTAATGCATAGAAAAGAGACTGGGTAGCTGTATACCCAAAAGTCAAGAGCAGCTGTCTCTCAGTGGTAGGATTTTGAATGACTTTCATTTTTGTCTTTTTTCTTCAATGTATTTTGTAAATTTCAATGGTGATTATATTAAATTATTTTTACAAAAATAAAAATTTGTATTATTTTTAGAAAAAGGTATAAAATGATGATTAATGACTTAATCTTAACCGAAGATGAGATAATGAGAAAGCTGTGCAATATCACAGGAAATAGAGAAAAGAAGAAAAGAAAGTAAATTGTAAGATTAAAAAAGCAAGTAAAATAATCATGTCCTTTGCAGCAACATGGATGGAGATGGAGGCCGTAATCCTAAGCAGACTAACTCACGAACAAGAAACCAAATACCTCATTTTCTCACTTATAAGTGGAGCTAAATATTGAGCACACATGGACATGAACATGGGAGTAATAGACACTGTGGATTATTAGACGGGGGAGGGAGAGCGGGGGATGTGAGCTGAAAAGCTGCCTAGTGGGTACTATACTCACTAGCTGGATGCGATATACCCCTGTAACAAACCTGCACATGGACCCCTTGTATCTAAAATAAAAGTTGAAATTTAAGATTAAATAAAAGCAACTAAGTGTAAATAGAAGAATGGAAATGGAAAAATCATATTTCATAATTGTGTTTCGGTCCAAGTAATCCACAAAGAGCAGGTCCTAGGCGTTTTGTGTTTATCATGTGTGCCAAAAATTCATATTCAGCAAAGTGTGCAAAGTAAAAAGAAAGAAAAACGTAATGCACATTTATTTAATCAATATATGAAGAGTTGATATTTATTTCTGGGCCTTAGTAACAACTTGGAAAATTCTAAATGAAATTAAATGCAGTACACAAATTCAGTTCACTGAATATTTCTTTTGAGTAATATCAAGTCCCACATTTAGCTATGATGTCTCACTTACTGTTGTGATGGTGTTATTTGTGCAGTCTATAGTACTTTACACTGTACAAAGCATTTGTGTGCACTTTATCCCACTTATTCCTACCAAAACCCCATGAAGTTATTTGTATAGGTTCCACTTTACAAAAGAAGAAACAAAAATCTGGGATGTTGACTTCCAAACATCCCCTAATGTTCAAAGCCAAGGGAAACCAACAAAACCAAATCTACCATGGTTTATTCTCAGGCTGAACATTACTTTGAAAAATACCAGTCATGCCAGCCATGAAATTTCTACATTTTATTTTCCTTCTATAATAATACACTATAATTCCAATATTGTTTGCTCTGTTTCTGTGGCTGATCTCTACGAATATGTAAAAGCAACCATTTTTGAATATTCCAATATAGATTTTGCAGCTACTTTCAGCAAATCATATTACAGCTTCTTCATATTCCATGCACATGTTGCAAAGAAAAAGTGTTCAAGTTCTGCAAATTATGTTGACTTCTTTGAAAATCTTAGCAAAGCTCTATACAGTCATGCATCACTTAACAAGAATACGTTCTGAGAAATGCATCCTTGGGCGATTTTGTCATGGTGCAAACATCACAGAACATACTTACAGAAACCTAGATGGCTCAACCTACTACAAACTTATGGTATGTGGTATAGCCTATTGTTCTTAAGCCACAAACCTGTACAGAATGTTACTGTGCTGAATACTGTAAGCAACTCTAACACATTGGCCAGTGTATGTGTATCTAAATATAACTAAACAAGGAAAAGGTACAATAAAAATATGGTATAAAAGATAAAAAATAGTACACCTGCATAGGACACTTACAATGAATGGAGCTTTCAGGACTGGAAGTTGCTCTAGGTGAATCAACGAGTGAGCAGTGAGTAATATGGAGGACAAGGACAAGACTGCACATTACTATAGACTTTATAAACCCTGCACACGTAGGCTACGGTAAATGCATTTTAAAATATTTTCTTTCTTCAATAATCAGTTAACCTTAGCTTACTGTAAGCTAACATTTTTTTTTACTATCTTTTATTTTTATTTTTATTTTACTTTACGTTCTGGGATACATGTGCAGAATGTGCAGGTTTGTTACATAGGTATACATGTGCCATGATGGTCTGCTGCACCTATGAACCGGTCATCTAGGTTTTAAGCCCCGCATGCATTAGCTATTTGTCTTAATGTTCTCCCTCCCCTTGCCCCCCACCCCGCTACATGTCCCAGTGTGTGATGTTCCCCTCCCTGTGTCCACGTGTTCTCATTGTAAGCTAAGATTTTTTACTTTAGAAACTTTTTAAAACTTTTTGACTCTTTTGTAATAACACTTAGCTTAAAGCACACATTGTACAGCTGTACAAAAATATTTCTTTGTATTATCATTCTATACATTTTTTCTTTTTAAATTTTTTGTGTACTTAAAACTTTTTTTTACTAAAAATTAAGACACAAACACACACATTAGTCTAGGCCTACACATGGTAAGAGTCATCAGTAACACTCTCTTCCACATCTACATCTTGTCCCACTAGAAGATCTTCAGGGGCAATAACACAAATGAAGCTGTCATCTCCTACGACAGCAATGCCTTATTTTGGAATACCACCTGAGACCATTCTGTAGTTAACATTTTTTTTAAGTAGAAAGAGTACACTCTAAAATAATGACATGAAGTATAGCATAGTATGGCAAATACATAAACCAGTAACATAGTCATTGATTATCAAGTATTAATACCATTGATCATTTATTATCAAGTACTAATGCCATTACTTTTAATGGCAAAAACTGCAATTACTTTTGTACCAATCAAATATGATGTACCATACATAATTGTATGTGCTATGAGTAATGCACTGTGCTATAACATTACAACAGCTATCACATCACTAGATGATAAGAATTTTTCAGCTCTGTTATAAGCTTACGAAACCACTGTCATATATGCAGTCCATTGCTGACTGATATGTTATGCAGCACATAACTGTACTTCATTTCTAATTTGATTTTTAAGGTGTTTATGTAACAAAAGATATGTTTATTTAAGAGATGTACTTTAGATGAAGTGATTTAAAATACCTCTTAAATAATTAGACATTTAGAGACCTTTGAGGATAATTTAAAGGTTAAATTGGCAGCACATTAGGTTAATTGCTAAAATATTATGTTTTTGTGTCCTGCCTACATTGTGAACATTCAAACGTAAGGATTAGAAAGTAGTCTCTAAAAAAACATAAGAAATAATTAAAATTAGCTTCTGGCCCCTAGAACCGCTTTTCACTCTCATTCTGGTTATTTAGAGGATATATACATCCGAGTAGATACGTCATCTAGCACCTTGACTCTGGGTGCTTTTATCTATTCTCATTCAATGACCTTTGCTTCCACTTCATGACAGCCACTCACTCTCTTAGATATATGCTGGCAATTCTCAAAATCAGTTGTGTAACTCAGACTTATCCTCTGGCTTCTAGAAACACTTACCCAACTTAACATTTCCATTTGATTGTCTCACAGGCATTTCAAATATAATATGTACAAAATGGAATTCTTGTATTCCACTTAAATCTTATTATATTCTCAGTCTTTACCACCTCAGAAAATGGCAGCACGTGCACTCAGTTGTTCAAGCCACAAACCTGGCCATCATTCTTGGTTCCTTATTTTGTCTTACCTTCACATTCAATGCCTCAACCAGCCTTTTCTTTGTACCTTCTAACTATATCATGAATCAATCCAGCATCTTTTATGTCAACTGTCATTATGGTGGTCCAAGCTTTCTTACAAAATTTCACCTCCGCTTCCAATCACTGTCTCCTCCATCTAGTCATCACACAGCAAACAGATAATCTTTTAAAACAAAAATCGCAAGAGTACCAACTCTCATTAATTTATTGAATGGTTTATACATGCATTTCATGCTCTACATTAAATATATATTTCACATCCTTCCACTTTTTTAGAGCTTTATTAAGGTATAATTATCATATAATATACTGCATGCATTAAAGCATACCATTTGATGAGTTTAGACACATGTATATGCCTTTAAAATCTTGAGCACAATCAAGATAACAATAATATCCGTCAGCTCCAGAAGTTTATTTATGGCCCTTTTAATACCTCCCTCTTCTCTTCTCCTCCCATGTCTGCAGAGCACCACTGATCAGCTTTATGTAACTCAAGATCAGTTGTTATTTTCTAGGAATTTACACAAATGAATTAATGTCTCCACTTGCCTCAGCTATTCACATAGAGTCCAGGTTAATTTCTTCATTTCCACTCTTCCAAAAAGAAAAAAAAGTGAACAAGTTCAATGAAAATCACTGAGAAAATGCCAACATCGGTGCCCAGTTTTTAGAGTTACTTATAAATTATAAAACTCCCGAAACACTACAACACTTTCATGGACTTGTATCTTTCTCAACGTTGATAAAAAATTATATTAATAATAAACTTCCATGTTGTTGTTGTTGTTTTGAAACGGAGTGTCACTCTGTCACCTGGGATGGAGTGCAGTGGCACAGCCTTGGCTCACCGCAACCTCCGCCTCCTGGGTTCAAGTGATTCTCCTGCCTCAGCCTCCTGAGTAGCTGGGATTACAGATGCACACGACCACGCCTGGCTAATTATTTGTATTTTGAGTAGAGATGGGGTTTCACCATGTTGGCCAGGCTGGTGTTGAATTCCTGACCTTAAGTGATCTGCCTGCCTTGGCCTCCCCAAGTCCTGGGATAACAGGCATGAGCCACTGCACCCAGCCAAACTTCGAGGTATATAATTAAAAGTTTAATAAGCCCTCAGCCTAATTTTAAAATTCAGATTCTTTCTTTCTTTCTTTCTTTCGTTCTTTCTTTCTTTCTTTCTTTCTTTCTTTCTTTCTTTCTTTCTTTCTTTCTTCTTTCTTTTTCTTTCTTTCTTGATAACATTATTATCATAGTCTGGTAGATTCTGTCTTTCTATAATAAAAATCCTGTGATGTTGTTCAAAGAAACTCAATGGGCTTTCTGTATGTTTACCAAGGAATTAAAATCTTAACAAAGGTTTTCAACACAAGAAATACTCCCTTTTGTAAGAATTCTTCATAGGTTTTTCTAGCACAAGTTTGTTTTTATTGAATGATACTTGATGGTTCTGTATGTTATTTCTTTTCTACTACATATAATTTTGATTAGGGGATACATTAAATATTTTAAAACTATCATTTCTTTTTCCAGAACAATCATAACATGTTTTGCTTCTTGTTGCTTTAAAAGGAACATTTTAAGTTGCTTTTTTACAACAATAAGTGTGAAAGGAAATGCCAAAATACAAACAATTTCACTTCTTGTTGGAATTTGACATTTCCACTAGCTAAGTAATATAAACATGCATCACCTAAATGAGCAGTATTTTAATAGCATCGTTTTCACATTTTAATTGTTGTCACATTTCTTCTTTGTTTAGGGAGACGTCTGGTGAACACCCGTGGGATCTAAAGAACAAGTAAGATTTAAAGCATACTGGGTTGTGTGCCTGGCTTTCACATTTTATTTATTTTATTGCTTAATAGTGTTTCTTTACTACTGTGGGTTGTAGCTTAAAATTGTTAGAAATTTTATTATGGAGTATAAGGAATAAAAGTGAACGTTCAACACTTTCAAATTATTTGGAGTCTTAAAAAATATACATAAATTTTCTGTATGTAGTAGGCAGACACAAAAATATTATGTCTTTATGTATATAGATGGAGTGAAATTTCAAGTCCTAAATAATGGGTATGTTTTTATGTGGAAGAGCAAATACACATCTATAGACTGAATTTTTACACGATGATTTTTATAAGATATACCGTTTTATTTAAAAATTGTCTTAGTGTGACCTCTAGCCTATCAATGGAGTAGGTTAGTGAGCAGTGAGTAGTTGATTCATTTCCCCAAACTCCACCTCGTGTGGAACCATGATTCTGTTAACACCAGAGAGTATGAACAATACAACAACCACCCAATAGTGGAATGAGATGTGTTGGGATGGTTATGAGGGAATCTTCAGTTAATGGATTGGGAAAGAGAAAGTGTGAAGTGCAGTCAAAAGGAAAGCAAATGAGTAAGGGAAGAACTGAAAATAATAAAGAAGAAAGACGACAGATCTTCAAAAAATAAAAATAAACAAATAGAGTAAACAAATAGATTACATATACTTGCACTTCATTGTAAATATTTGGAAGAAACAAAAGAGAGGTGGAACAAATACAAAGTAGTAAGTAGAGACTGGAAACTAAATATAGAGACACGATATTCAATAAATAGTGCCTAAGAGAAAGGGAAAGAAAAAAGTGGTAAAAGTAGAAGAAAGTTCCATTTTAAATTTTTGCTTTTTCACTTATTTGACAATTTACGTAATTTAAACTACAACTTGAATGGTTTATAAATAGAAGCCTTGAATATTTTTATCTATTTCATTGAAAAAGAAAAAAATTCTAGTCATCATGCAATTATTCGATGTTTCTGAGAACCTTGTTTTATGCTCAATTTAAGCCATGTTTAAATGAAGAAAATGTTTCTTGATTTATTTCAAGTTTCCTTACTAGTGTTCTAAACTTTCTATATTTATGAAATCACTTGATTCTAAAAAACTGAAAATTGTGCATTTAAGGAGGTGAAATAAATCATTAAAATGTATTTATACTCTGCGGAAAGCATATGTTAAACAATTCAAATTTACAGTTAGAATGGTTCAAATTACTCCGGCGTTCAAAGACACAAAGCCCTAGAATTACCCTGTAGTTATCCTGTAATTGCTATTTGCTGGCAAAGGAAAGATTAACAGTGGTGCTGATCTCAACTGTAATACACAGATTTACCAAGGAACCTGTAGAATTGAGTTTTTCTATCCAAAGAATGAATCATAAAAATTCAGCAAGATGACCTTTCTTTTCATTGGCATAAAGATAAAACAAGTAAAAATTCCTTTTTAGCAGCACTTGGAAAAGTATGGTTGTTCGTTTATGGTTGTTGCTGTTGTTCATGGGTTTGGGTGGCTATTATGTATTAATCATTTATCATCGCAACAAAGGGTCTTTGTTGCGATGATAATCTTACTAATAGTCGCAGTGTCTTGGAGAAAATTATTTGGTTATTTATGATTCATTATCTATAATACACATCACTACTAGGCCACCATACATTGTTTTTTATAACCATAGAGTAGAGCTCTGTGGGGGCAAAAGAGAAAACGCCCATTGACTCTAAATCCAAAATACTGAGTAAAATCCCAGCACCACCATTAAGAGCCACTTTATCTTCCTGCTCCTCAATGTTTTCATGTTTAAAATGAGAATACTGCCTAGTGACAGGATTGCTACGGTATTTGAGCAAGTTGTCATTCTGAAAGTACTTTGAACTTGGTCAACATTGCTGGATGACATAACTGGGGAGTCTTGGGTTCTAGCTCCCTGCAAGTGAAGCCACCCAAATGACTTTGCAAAGACTGCTACAGTTGTTTGTACTTGTGATTCAACATTATCATTTTTTAAGTCATTTAGGGGGTAGGTCAAACGACCATTTAAGAAGCTTTAGTCATCAGCCTCATTGCTCTGGATCTGGAGTGTAGCCTCATAAGAATATCCTGCTGTGGGTGCCTTATATTCCTCTAATGGAATAAAACTAGGACCATCTCCCCGATTTTAACCAGTACTAGGCTGGTTTGTTTTACATATATTCTCTCATGTAAATCTCAAATCAATCATCTAAGGAATATCTGTTTGTCCCCATTTTTGGATGATTCTCATAAAGGGTTAGTAATATAACTGAGGTAACACAAAGAGAAAAGAGAAAGAATTGGAATTGGAACCCAGAACTTGTTCCACAGCCCATGTATATTACAAATGTATTTTACTGCCTTCCTCAGTGAAATGTAGTATTTTTAGTGCAACTATTTGGGGGAAAATTGTCACAGTAATTTTATCCACACTGGTGTGGAGAAAACATCTAATATAAAAGACAAATGTTTGAGGGAGAGGAAAAGCAATTTCGCTTCCCAAGGAGGGTGACACCTGCTGAAAGGGGCTGCAGTAAGGCAGTCTCAGAGTTGTGCCTTGGACAAGCTCTGTGGGAAAGTATTAGTGAGCATGTTTTTTAATCCTACAACTCTTTCCTCCTTTGGCAGTTAACAGCAAATTCCTCAAGTCCTGCTGCCTGTGCTTTAAGGCCCAATTCTTCTGCATTCCTATGATCATTTAGCAGAGAGAAGACCCAACTCTACTTTCTTTCTACTTATTGGCATTCCTCACCTCCATAACAACAACAAAGTTTGTGCCCCTGATTTTCTGTTTATGGTCAAAAATTGGTGGTTGATCTACGTATACTTGCTGAAGTCAGGGAAGATGGTAATTATTATATCCAAATGTACATTGAACAGTCCTTTTGAGGCTCCATTCTCTTCATCTTCTTTAAGAAAAAGTAAGTCATTAGAAAGAAATGAAAATAAATTATTTTGTTACAGCAAAGGGGTCCCAATCCAGACCCCACCCAAGAGAGGGTTGTTGCATCTCATGCAAGAAAGAATTCAGGGCAAGTCCATAGAGTAAAGTGAAAACAAATTTATTAGGAAAGTGAAGAAATAAAAGAATGGCTACTCCATAGACAGAGCAGCCCTGAAGGCAGCTGGTTGCCCATTTTTATGGTTATTTCTTGATGATATGCTAAACAAGGAGTGGATTATTCATGCCTCCCCTTTTCAGACAATGTAGGGTAACTTCCTGGCATTCCCATGGCATTTGTAAACTGTCATGGCGCTGGTGGGAGTGTAGCAGTGAGGACGACCAGAGGTCACTCTTGTGGCCATCTTGGTTTTGGTGGGTTTTGGCCAGCTCCTTTACTGCAACCTATTTTATCAGCAACGTCTTTATGATCTGTATCTTGTGTTGACCTCCTATCTCATCCTGTGACTTAGAATGCCTTAACCCTCTGAGAATACAGCCCAGTAGGTCTCAACATTGTTTTACCAGCCCCCATTCAAGATGGAGTTGCTCTGGTTTAAATGCCTCTGACACATTCATGATTGATTGATTGATTGTTTAATTTTTTTAAAAGCTATCTAGTTAATTTAGTTAAAATAAACCTGGCTTATTCTTTTTTTACACAAATTGATTTTAAATAGTTAAAACATTTTTTTAAATCCATAAGTAATTCTTACTCTACTCATTTATACACACATATACTCACATGTACACAGACATACCTACACACACACTTATAAATACATGTATACACAGAATATAGCAAGGTCTTTTATCCCTTTTCAATGAAATAAATATTGTATTCTATATTTAGAATAAATAATGTTGAAAAAGTGATTTTGGAGAAAGGTTGAAATGATTGAGTCTTAAGTGTGTCAATGTATAATCTACCCCTTTCTAAACATCGTGTTTTAAGTAGTCATCTTACTTCAGAAATTAGAGGCTCAATGTGTTTAGAAATACATTTCATCATGTTCATACACAATATAGATTTCTCCTTCCTCAGATTGTCTCCCATGTAAATATACTGCTTGATAAAGATGACAGTCAAGTTAACTTGATTGCTGGACAGCTGTATTGTTATTACCATAAATAAACACACATATTTCCTCTTCGGATTATTCCTGGCAAGGAATCTCTAGACAAACACAATGCTTTCTTCTGGATTGATTGTGATCTTATTCACTCTAGGTAATCACATATGTATCGTTCATATTAACACTTTTATAAAACTGAATTTAGTATGTAGAAAAGTTCAAAGTAAAAAGCTGTACTATTAGGTGACATTTTTAAGGGCATGACTAAAAGCAAAAATATTATTGACAAATCTTTGGAGTCTTACACAATAAAAGGAATCTAATTTACACAACATAAGCACATTTCTGTTCAGATTGTGAGAATGAAAGATCGTGGAGAAGTTTTATTCAAAGATATCAGCTTTGCTCATGAAACTCAAATAAATGCTTCCAGAAAAAAAAAAAACAAACAAACAAACAAAAAAAAACGAGGTAATAGCATGGACCAAACAGTTATTCATTTTGCTCTTTAATTCCAAAAACAGATACTATTCCTCTCTGAGTATTACATAGAGCTTACGATTTACTTATTATAGAAAAATGGTGTTATCTACAACAAGTACTTATTATGAACATCAGAAGATATCAAGTAGACAAAAATGCAGCAGCCAAGAGTTCAAGAGTGAGGGAGCACTCAGAGTCCAGTCTTATAGTGAGATTGGTTAAACTGCAAGATGCACCCAACAAAAGATCCATTTTATCTGGGAACCTCACCTTGCACGTTGATACTTTCAGGCCAGTAGAGGCCCTTTTGTGAAAGAAAGAAATGGTTTAATTAGTGGGACTCCAAGGATTAAACCAATGTTGACAATGGCACCTTCACCACCACTGGAAAAAACAGTGGGTACATCCCCATACCTGTTATACGTAAGCATTTCCTGAGTTTTGAGTCGACTTGGCTGCTTGAATCAGGGCAGAGTTGCTTCTGTATGCAATGAAATGCCCATACACTTGGTCATTATAGTTAATTAACTGCCCTCCAATGCTGCCTGCAATGCATATATACAGAGAATATAGCAAGGTCTTTTATCCCACGGAAAGAAAGAGAAAGAGACTTGTTGCTTTTGTCCATTGGAGCAGGAAAAAGCAAAGCAAAAGAAAACAAACAAACACACAAAAAAACACTATTTGTTAAACATGGACTGTTACCAAACATAGAAGTAAGGTTCCTTCCATATTTGAAGTCTATTATTAGTTCTGCCTTGTGACTGATCGCTTCTTTGCTATCATCAATGATCAATGATAGGACCCAACAATGTCAGTGCAGCATTCTGGGGGCACTCCCATGGCGCATTTATTTTGCCCATCACCTTGAGAGTGGTTTTCAAGATTAATTCTAGTGTCGGTGGCCTCGTATATTAATTATTGCTTCAGAAACGCTTCATCGGAGTTCAGTCATTCTTTTGTTACTTTGATGTAAACCCCCAATGCCTCAGATATTGAAAAAACAAAAAACAGAAAAAAAAATAAGAGCTAGCAAGAATTTTCAAATAGCATTGGTGCTTAAAAAACAAACAAGCAAACAAACAAGATTATCTGTGCTATCTGCATCCCCCCCTTTAACGTCTTTTCTTTCTGCCGCTGTTAGTGTCATCTGTTGTGTTTATTTTTTTCATTCAAAAAATTTAGACACTCAAAATTTTGCTGAAAATTTCACCTAAGACTGTGACCAACTGTCTGGTATAAATTGGATATAGATTTCTAGAGATGTAGGCCAGTAGATAGTGAATACAAAGGCAAGTCACAGATTTTCTTTTAGCATTGCTGAGTTTTGTGAAGTTTTATCTCTGCCTGATGTTACAGGATATAGTGGCAAGAATATACACCCTCATATGGCAGAAAATAGCAATTTCTTATCCTGGATGGCAGAATGGCAAAAATACATACATATGGCATCAAACTTTAATTGATAGAACTTGATAAAAAAATTTCAATACTATTCTGTAAATCTCCTTCAAAGTCTGTTTTGTTCTCACATCCACTTAAAGTAGAACAGTCATTAGACATTGCAAATAGTTTTCCCTGTCTGCATGTGAAAGGAAAGCATCTTACCCATTTGATATTTTTAGACACTTATACCGCCTATGGAATTTGCCTACATAACTCCCTTTCATGCATGGATTTCTTGCTTCTACAGTCATCTTAAATATGGTGAATAATGCTTGGCTTATGGTCCTCACTCAGTCAATGTTTATTAACTAAGTACGTATTGGGCAGGTTTGTTAGTGTTCTATGATTGTAAGAAACTCAGCAGATTAACACAAAATATATTTATTATCTCTCACTTTAAGGTAGGAAATGTCTTAGTTGGGTCCTCTGCAAGAATGCAGTGTGTCAGCCAGGGCTTGGTTCTCATCTGGAGGCTTAACTGGTGATGGATTCTCTTCCAAGTTTACTCAAGTTGTTGGCAGAATTCATTTCCTGTGGCTGTAAGACTGAGGGCTTTGGCTTTGGCTGTTGGCTAGAGGCTACTCTCAGCTCCAGGAGCTGCCTGAAGTTCCTTGACTATAGCTTTTTCCATAGGCCCTCTCACAACATGGTACCTTGCTTCTTTAAAGTCAGAAAGGGAAAGGGACACTTCCTATTACCAGACTGATAGCAAGGTGGAGGCTTATATAATGATTCATAATCAAGAGAGTAAAATCCTATCATCTTTACCAAGTTCTATTGGTTAGAAATATGTCACAGGTCCTGCCCACACTCAGTGGGACAGGATTATACAATCTGGACACCAGGAGAAAGAGACCAAAGGAAAGACCTTAGAGTCTCTTTGCCACAACAGATACCATCAAAAGAACCAGTGCCAGGGCCTTCCCTGAAATCCTAACTTTGAACTAGAATTGAAAATCACATCAGAGAAAGAACATCTTAATTTGTTCTCACTAAGGAAAATGAAAAATATTTGTTGAAAGAGCTGTAGGGTGTAGAGTTATCATTATACTAGTTTACTAAAGTACCACTGAAGTACAATGGGCATTTCCTATTGTAAGAGGCAGAATCTTCAGGGAATAGGGATGTATTCTTAGCTACTCTGGCAGGGAATAGCATGTGACCCTCTTTCTTTGCTACTGCATTCTGAGTCTTAGGCCTTTGAATAACACAGTTTTTTCTTAATGTACACCTCACTTCTCTACTATTGTTTGGCCTATAACAACCACAGAGGTAATTATATCCTTATATCCTATGTAATTATATGCTGCAGTTAATATGTATTTTACCATATATTTATCCATAGGTCTGTTTTCTCAAATAACCACTTAATTCTATGATATTTAAATGAAAAGCTCCAGGCTTACTAGTCTTCCAGGATGTGAGAATAATAGATGAATTATAAGCTATTTCCCCCAAAAAAGAGTGTGTTGGGATACGTGAGACCATGTAAATGAGGAGAAGCTACGACTGATGATTCCTGAAAAGACTCCCCCCACTTTTGTATCTTCCTGGAGTTCAAAAACAGATACTATTTCTGAGCACCCCTACAGACTAGAATTGCCACTCTCTACTTAGGAGACACAGTCTCTAAGGTAACCAGGATACACATATCATAGCATTTTTAACTAGGGCAATCTAAATTATGAGCATGCTACATATGAATCCTAGGCCAAAGGAAATGTTTTCTGTACCAAAATAATCAATATTAATCATTAAAATTTAAAAATAATGGTATTTATTCATACTTTCGTGAGGACGCCCTTGGTGGCTGTTGTGCAATAAGCGGATAATATTTGTCTGCCAATCACTAGCCCATCTCACATGTAAAAATGATCACATGACAATCCAGTGCATGTTTATCACCCAAGATCTTGTCAGCAACTGATGGCACACTCAAAAAGAGTGTTCTTAATAGAGGAGAGCTTAATAAATTGACTATTTACAGAGGGATGGACAAGATGAAAGGATCAAGGATCATCCTGGGTTAACTGGAAGCAACTTCCACACTTTGAGTTGATAAGGTTATCAGAACCCAGAAAGATCTGCACTGTTGAAGAGGGCCACTCAGTAAGAACCTAACCTCAAGTGCAGAAAAGCAACATGTGAAAACATGTGCACTGGCAGATAGAGAGCCAGGGAAATAAATAACAGAACTCCTCTTTCCTTTTATCTTCTAATATTCTGCTGGTATTTCCCATTACCTGAACTAACAAGAAGCCACAAAGCAAGAGAGCCTAGCTGATGCAGTCAATAAATGTTGAACTCACCAGACACAGAGCAGGGGGATAAAAGGTGAGAATGGAATATCCTATAGCATGTCAATGTGCATCAGTAACTCAAAAAGTCTTATGGATAATGTTGTCCCATTTGTATTAAAATTCTAACTTTTGTTCATAGTCTGATTTCTATCCATTGTGTCTTACTTTCTTTTAGGCTTGGAAAATATTGGTCAAAGATATGTTGAATCTGTTACTTTCTAACATTGTTTTAGAAACTGCATCAACCATCTACTGAATTTGTTCAGATTTTGGCCTCTTTTCAGAAATCTGGGACTTGTAGGAGGAATTGCTGAAATCTTGAATGATTTTCTAACCATTCACAATTGTAGTTTCCCCTAAGGCAACTCCTAAAAATTTCCATCTTTGTCAGGCTGGTCATGTTTAGGACATTTCTGTAACTCCAAGTCTCTTTAAAGGGAAGGCCTAAGAGAACTGTACGGAGCAAAAAATTACTCAGGATCCCTCCGTAGAGGCACCAAGTCAACCTAAAATTCTCATAACTCCTTGAAAGCAGGCTAGTGAAAATTTGGAGAGAATTTATGACGATTAGTATAAATTATAGCTTATTATCTAGTATTTTTGCAATCTGTCCTTATACTCGTTATGTGGCCAAAGCATCCAAAAAATGCTTTATGCCTAGATGTGAGCTAGAATATTTCCAAATTGGCACATACATCACAGAATGAAATCCTCCAGTTTTATCCACAGATACACCAATGTCATCTACATCTAAATTATATTAACTCTAACACAAATCATCATTCTACTTGTTTCTTATTTCTAAGCACTCATAAAAATTTTTACAGTTCTAATTTTTTTTTCTCCATACCAACTTGCTTCTTATCTTCATATACTTTTCCTCCTTTCCAGTTTTAAATTAAAATAACTGCTGAAAACCCCTATGGCACACATTTACCTATGTAACAAACCTGCACATCCTTCACATGTACCCTGGAACTTAAAATAAAATAAAATAAAATAAAATAGAAAGAACTGCTGAAATTTGTGGAGCCTTTAGACACTACCTTTAGGATTGTGAAAGCTCTGCAACCCAATATTTCAATTCTGTTGGGGTTAAGTCTAGCCTTTCTGTGACTTAGAACTAGTCAACTTTTATTAATTCTCAATTTCTCTCTCCTTAAGCATATCATATTCCTGGTAATTTTTGGTAAGATTTTGATGCTGTGTATATAAAGTGCATTGTAAATATCAAACAAAATATTGAGATAGATATTGGAAAAAAAATCCTAAATAAAATTTTAGGTGAATGAGAGAATGATTTGTACTTTTAGAGCAAGTTCTACTATTTTTATACATACATTAGCCTGATTATATGGGTTTTGTTGTTATTGTTTGTTTTGTCTTTCAAATAGATTTCATCTGAAGCTGTTATGCCAAACACTACTTTAGTTCTTCATTTAAGTGTATTTATATGATATCAGATTTTCCCCTTGTTTTTACAACAAGCTCAATGATATAAAATTTATCTTAAGCAAAATTGTCCTTATGCTTTACCTGACATGCTTCCTTAATTAATATTATGGTTAAAGAGAGGAAAAACATAAGGTTTTACAAGGGTTCTCAAAAATAGTTATAGTAACAGAGTATATTTAAAATCATATTACCAGCAAATCCCAGTAATAACTAAGGAGACGAATTAAAAATCTTTGCAAATGCCAAAATTATGTTAAATAGCAGTTGGAATATTTTAACCCAGAATTCTACTGTTTGATTTCTTCACACTTCCTTTCTTGCATCAAAAACAAAGGTCAGCAGCATAATAGGTACAAAGTTAACTCCATCCTTTTTTTCCATAGAATTGTCAGATTGACACACTAGAATGCGTTTTCACTAAATAATGAAGGGGAGGCCGGGCGCGGTGGCTCATGCCTGTAATCCCAGGACTTTGGGAGGCCGAGACGGGTGGATCACAAGGTCAGGAGATGAGACCATCCTGGCTAACACGGTGAAACCCCGTCTCTAATAAAAATACAAAAAATTAGCCGGGTGTGGTGGCGGGAGCCTGTAGTCCCAGCTACTCGGGAGGCTGAGGCAGGAGAGTGACATGAACTGGGGAGGCGGAGCTTGCAGTGAGCCAAGATCGGCCACTGGACTCCAGCCTGGGCAACAGAGTGAGACTCTGTCTCAAAAATAAATAAATAAATAAATAAATAAATAAATAAATAAATAAATAAAATGAAGGGGAGAAGGCCTGTGTTACCTAACAGACTCTCATGGACTGTGGCTTTCTTGGCTAGAACATAGGATAAGTAAACATCCTAAAAGTTAAAAACATGAAAAGCCGCCATCTTGTCATCTTTCTTTATCAATTTTCGTATCTGTTTTTCTAAAGCAGATTTTTTTAAATTTCTGATTTTAAAATGATACTTGTTTTCTATTGTTTAAAGTGATTACATTTAACGTCCTCTCCCATGACTTCAGGTAAGAAATTTTACCCAGAAGTCAGTAAGAGCACAACAGCTTCCCCAGCAAAGGGAGTCTCTCCAGTCCTTCTGTGAAAAGGATCATCTGTGCTTATATAACTGGGTCCCTTTGTTTGAATGGATAGATTTGTCGTTCTAGAACAAACACTTGAGTCCTATCTACAGTTTTTATGCTGCTAGAAAGACGATTCTAAAATGCAGACTATTTAGTGTCTTATTCCTGCTTAGGGCCAAGCTTTTCAAACAGAACAAAGCTTTTTGTGGATTGATTCCTTCCTGTTTGTAGCCTCCTCTCTCTACGTACTTTATCCCAACTTCTATGCATCTATGTATGTATTAGCACTATGAAATTCGTCATATTGCTGCCCCAAAGTCTGTATTATTTCATGGTACTATGAGTTGTATATGCATCTCATTCAGTGAATCCTGCAGCATACTAAATAAACTTCTAATAGCTCTTACTCTACTCTATTATAATAATATGTTTATATGTCTATACTTTCCAAACCATAGAGAACAATTTGAGGGTAAGGACTGCACCTGATTCTTCTTTGGGCCAAAAAAAAAAAGAAAAAAAAAAAAAAGACCAGGTGTGATGGCACACACCTGTGGTCCCAGCTACACTGGAGACTGAGTTGGGAGGATTGTATGAGCCTAGGAAGTGAAGGCTGCAGTGAGCCATGTTTGTAACACTGCACTCCAACATGGGCAACACAGCAAAGAGCCTGTCTCAAGATAATAATAAATAAAAATAAAGAAAAAATAATTCTTCTTTGGATCACCAGAGGAGTATCTAGTAGATAGTATGCTCAAATAAGTGTTTTTGAATAAATTTATTGTGCCACAGATAAAGGTTGAGAGGTCTAGGAGGATCCTCTCCAATGCAGCTGCAAGAATTTATTGACACTTTATCAAGCAAAATGAATCAACCTAATAATTCTTATCATAATCACATTGGTGTATGTGAGAAAATGGGTGAACATTTGGGTCAATTGATGAGATGTGTATCTTTTTGTTTCTAGTTTGAAATGAAAGAGATTACATCACTGTCTGGTCTTATCTCTAACTTTCAATAGTTTTGTAGGTTTCAGGAGTTTTGTAGTTGATTTCTGTTTTAGTCACAGAAAGACATAGTCCCTGAATGCAAAATCGTGCTTCATTTCTGTCACAGAGACAAGAATTACCATCTTTTTGCCAATTCAGTTATAACTTATAGTTTGCAATTGTTGGAAATACAATTAGTACCAAGAACATAAAAGCCATATTGATTTAACATTATTATTGTAGCCAGATTATGTCAAAATGGAACCATAACCATCCTTATGCATGCCACATGCTCATTGTAGATTTGTTATATTTTCCACTTCTCAATGATAATGCTGTGCTCTCAAAGGAATAGTCCAATAGACATGTATTTTAAGTTAATTTGGTGTCCTCTTTATCCAACAACATCCTAAATGAGAGCAGGGCAAAAACATACGTTTACATATGTATAATACATACTGTACACACACAACACACATCTGTACACACAAGGACGTAGGATACTTTCAGCACATTTCCCCACTGTGGGAGAATACGTAGTTTAATATATGTGATAAAATATTTCAAAGAAAATATATGGTGTAAATAAAATAAATGTTTTTAAATAACTGTTTTAAAAGAAAACAAATAAAACTTAGGTAGTTGGGAAAAAAGAAGCTTCAACCAGAGGTTTATTCTTATAAATTTTTCTTGTAAATTTTTTGGCCATTTACGTATTAGTATAAATATTATTTTATATACTTTTTTCAAACAAGAAATATTAAATAACATGATTTGTGGAAATGTTTCTTTCAGTTGGTGGAGATGAAGTCATCATTTCCTAGAAGTTCAGCTTTCATACTATCTAATTCCCAGCCCCAAACCTAATAGCATATCGCCAGTAAAACCATACCATCTTTTATTCTTCAGGGTCTCATTCAAGTTGAATCCCACCTTATATTATGTATGTATTAAGAAACATTTTTGTCTGGTGGAACTCTGATATTAGAAGTTAATTATAAGACCAACTTTCATATTAACACAAATCTCATGATCAACATGTGTTTAAATATAGCCTAGTCTTCAGGAAAAACCTGGCATATGGAACTCAGAGTGTATCTCTGCTGCCTTCAAAAACACTTCTAAAATAGCAGTTAAGAAATTTTTAAAACTCAGTAGTACAAAGACACATTGAACAGGAAAAGGTAAAATTGGTTAAGAGATGTCAACAAAGTTTTGGAAGATGGAAAGTAGATGAGTTGGCAAAATGGCAAAATCTGAAGATCATGTGCCAACAGCTTAGATGACAGTGACAAATGTGCCAGTTCACCCCCACCCCTCTGAAAACCTGGAAAGGCTCAGGACTTGGATGTACCAGTATACAGAACTTAAAAAAAAAAAAAAAGGTCTTCACGCTGAAAATAGGGGGATTGTTTGAAAGTCTCTAAGATATGTTTAGGTCACCAAATCGCTTTCCATGTTCATATATAGCTATAAGACCACCTTTCCCCCATTCTTACAAGAGATTAGAGGTGTAAAACTTCAGAGAAATTGAACTAAAAATCAAGAATATCAAAAGAAAGGAGTGCTGAAGTGAGGCACTAGTAAGAAATTATGAGAAAAGGGACTCAGATCTATCTTTCCTAGACACAAACTTCCTACTTCCAGGGTACGAGAACAAAGACTAAAATTGAAGTATTCTGCTTTGGAGAAACATAATGGTGCTTGAGAAAATACCCACATATAATGATATGTGGAGGTTGGCATTCCAAAATACAGCTATCCCATTATCCAATCACCCTATCATCCTGTTATGAAGCTCCTGAACCAACTAGCACCTCCACTGCACACATACTGACACAGGACTGCCCATAGAGCTTCTTATAGCACAACTCAGATAGTCAAGGATGACCAGACATATAAGGAACAGTTACAAAAAAAAAAAAAAGAAACAAAAAAGATACAAATCAGAGAGAATTTTAAAATATTAGATTTATGAAATTACAACAAGATGTTATTTCAAAAATAGAATATGCAGAGAAAATATAAAGATCCTGGATATTTAAAATATTATAGCAGATAGACAAAATGCAAGAGGAGGGATGAAGGATAAAGTTGAAAAAACATAAAAAACAGAACAAAAAGACAAAGTGATAATAAGAAAAAATTTTTTAAGTGAAAGAATTAATCCAAGATATCCAATATCTCACTAAAAATGACTTATTTAAAAAAGACAGGAGAAAGAGACACTTTAAAAAAATCTAAGGAATGAAAATAACACAGATATAACAAGAGAAAATCTTCCTAGAACTGAAGGACATGATTCACCAAGTTGAAAGTATCCAATGTTTTCTCAACATATGGATTTTTTAAAAGACCTCTACTGTGAAGCATGTCATGGTAAAATTATAGAATAACCAAGCTAAATATTCTAAACCCAAGGGGTGTAGACAGCAGGGAGGGCAGTGGTAATCCCAGGTCATACACTAGGAGATGAGAATAAGAATGACATTGTAGTTCTCAAAACAGCGTTGAATACCTGCATGCTAGAAAAGAGAAACCTCCAAAGTTCTAGGGGAAAAAGAATTTTCAACTTAGAATTCTATATTCATCCAAACTGTCAGTAAAGCATGAAGGGATAATCAGATAATTTCAGACAGGCAAAGTATTTTTTAAATCACTTCCCGTCTAATCTTTCATAAGAAACAACTGATCTACATCTCTGTTTTGGTACCAGTACCATGCTGTTTTGGTTACTGTAGCCTTGTAGTATAGTTGAAGTCAGGTAGTGTGATGCCTCCAGCTTTGTTCTTTGGCTTAGGATTGACTTGGTGATGCGGGCTCTTTTTTGGTTCCATATGAACTTTAAAGTAGTTTTTCCAATTCTGTGAAGAAAGTCATTAGTAGCTTGATGGGGATGGCATTGAATCCATAAATGACTTGGGCAGTATGGCCATTTTCACGATATTGATTCTTCCTACCCATGAGCATGGAATGTTCTTCCATTTGTTTGTATCCTCTTTTATTTCCTTGAGCAGTGGTTTGTAGTTCTCCTTGAAGAGGTCCTTCACATCCCTTCTAAGTTGGATTCCTAGGTATTTTATTCTCTTTGAAGCAATTGTGAATGGGAGTTCACTCATGATTTGGCTCTCTGTTTGTCTGTTATTGGTGTATGAGAATGGTTATGATTTTTGTACATTGATTTTGTATCCTGAGACTTTGCTGAAGTTGCTTATCAGCTTAAGGAGATTTTGGGCTGAGACAATGGGGTTTTCTAGAACTAGAAATACCATTTGACCCAGCCATCCCATTACTGGGTATATACCCAAAGGACTATAATCATGCTGCTATAAAGACACATGCACACGTATGTTTATTGCGGCATTATTCACAATAGCAAAGACTTGGAACCAACCCAAATGTCCAACAATGATAGACTGGATTAAGAAAATGTGGCACATATACACCATGGAATACTATGCAGCCATAAAAAAGGATGAGTTCATGTCCTTTGTAGGGACATGGATGAAATTGGAAATCATCATTCTCAGTAAACTATCTCAAGGACAAAAAACCAAACACCGCATGTTCTCACTCATAGGTGGGAATTGAACAATGAGAACACATGGACACCGGAAGGGGAACATCACACTCTGGGGACTGTTGTGGGGTGGGGGGAGGGGGGAGGGATAGCATTAGGAGATATACCTAATGCTAAATGATGAGTTAATGGGTGCAGCGCACCAGCACGGCACATGTATACATATGTAACTAACCTGCGCATTGTGCACACGTACCCTAAAACTTAAAGTATAATAATAATAAAATTTAAAAAAAATGCCAAATTTCAAAAGCAAAAAAAAAAACACTTTTCTAAAATGGGTCATATCTTTTTAGCTTTAAGTATAACAGACAAATAAAAATTATATATTTATGGTGTAAAAAAAAAAGAAAGAAACAACTGAAAGATATGCTTAAGCAACCTTTGGGGGGTGTAAACCACAATGAAAAAAAAAAAAGGATCCAAGTAACAGGAGGTCAAACACGGGAGAAGGGTAAATGGAATTCCCAGAAAAATAACTATACATAGGTATCTAAAGCAAAAGGTCCAGATTGATGTAGGAAGGTAAAGGCATGATGGTCTCTGAGAAAGGAATGGAATTGATGGAAAGTTTTAGCTGTTTTGGAGTGATTAGAAAGAAATATTGATAGGTTTGTATTTGGTTTATTGGAGTATTTTAGAAAAAAGTAATAGGGTCAAGCACATAAAAAAAATAAATATATTTTTAAAATTCTTCAGGGACTTGTATTGAAGGTATAGTTGTACAAAAACACATTTTTTCTCTTAGATTTTATTAATTTTAGAGGCTTTGGAGGGTAATGGAGACTACACCCTCCTTGTTCCTCTTGTCACCCTTAGCCATCTTTGGGCTACCAGTTAGCACAAAGTCATCTAGTATGGAAAACAAAATCAAGTGATTCAGAGTTGAAGGGTAGAGTGAAGAAGTCTATCGAAATTAAATTTTTATATTTTCCTAAAACAGATTACTGTATATTTCTACATATACCTCTACTCATAACCTCATCACAGTTTGAAATGAAATTTAATGTAGCTTTTCATTTTGATTTCCTTAAGATGTGTGGATGGGAGCACACACAGTATTTTAATTTTATAATTTAAAATAACCAAGCAGTCAGAAGTTAAGATAAGCTGAACTTACTTTTTACTTGCTATAAATAGGCAAATCATTAAATGTTACAAATAGTCCATTTTCTCTACCCTATCTTGCTATAGGTTGGGACAGAGGAAGAAAGAGTTATTAGATTTACTGTCTACATTTATCTAGCTGTATTAAATGTAAATATGACCCCCCAATATTTTTTAAAATCATTTCTTTAATGGACAAGTACTGCTTCATTAAATAGAGTTTTTTTCCATACTATAAAAAAGAAAAAACATATTGAAAAATATCTGTGGAGTCATTTGAACTCCAATTAATCTTTATCTTAGATTTCTTACTATGCCAAAGTATGAAACTTTTTTAAAATATCAGGGAAACTGATTTATGATATCAGTAATACTCCCTAAAATTATGGTTAGACCAGCAGGCAGATGCTTACGTAATATCATTTCCCAATTTCACAGTAAAAATAACAGGTAGGTTATGTGAATAAATATGGTAATTGCAGCCCAATGGGAATTGCAAATTTAGAGTTCAATCTCCATTTTAACAAGAAGTCACTTACAGAGATAAAACTCTGGGGATCAGTGACTATTCAGAATAACGTTAGTCTTTAAAATTAAATTTGTAAATACCAAGGGAATGAATGATTTGTGCCTTGTCTATTCCTTAACATAAATAGACTTTCTTTTTAAAAGTATATGTTTTGTTCATTCTTGAGAACAAGAAGAAGAACAAAAAGAAAAGAGGAGGAGAATCCAAATTTATAAATTATGCACCATTATATTTGCTCTCATAGCCCATCTAACATAGGAGGACCTAGAATAATAGAGTCAGACTTTAATGTTGAAAATCACATTACATCATCGGTTGGATACACCTCTAATCTTTCTTTTAACAGCTAAATTCATGTGCTTCAGACACAAAAGTGAAAGAAGTCTTCAATGAATCAGTTGCACTGTGCTTCATTCTAAACCAGACAACAGCCATCTTATGGGTTCATTGATGCATTTTGTTCTATGAATATCAAAATTATTTAATTTATGATAAGAAAATTTAAAAAAAATCCAGGCTATTCAGACAGGAGCCCCAGAAGCTCTCTGGTAAAGGAAATTCTAGAACTGTATATTTTCCAAATAATCATCACATATATGGCTTTATTTTTCTATAGCAAGTCCTATAGGTTAGTGAAGCCAGTTAACTGGTCTAGAATAGTAGCCCAGCCACTGAACAATCAGAGTATAAGTCTGCCCTCCAGACATCCCCAATTATGATAAGAAATCTTGATTTCCTCGTCTGAAAAGAAAAAGGATCTCTCATTTAAGAAAGTCATGGTTATAGCCAGTGAAGCTTGCTAAAATGCATTAGAGAATAATAAAGTGAACTTTATTAAAAGGCACCCTTGGGTACAATTTCATCATCCTCTACAGCTGAAAGCAGCAGAATTTTAGTCTTCTTATACTTAGGTTTTTATAGAATGCCTTTTAACCAAAAGGATCAGAAGAGTGTAATTGCAGGCCCCTTTTTAAATGATCTGTGAAAGTTGGGTGGTTCATTCAGGATGCAGATTAATTTCATACTTCCTTGTTTGGCACATCAATTATTTCATGATGATGTTCCTCTCTCATGAGAATTATAAATTAATTATCATTAATAACAGTCATTATTTATTAGGCATCTCATATGTAGCATTCACCATGCTACTTCCACTTACACATGCTATTTCTTGTTTTCACAACATTCAGGCAAGGTGGTTGCTGTTTTATCTGCATTTTATTGAGGAGCAAATTGTCACTCAGATGGAGTTTTGCATTTCTTCTATATCATTCAAAATGCCTAGCAATGAACTGATCAGATAGAAAGTTGTCAATACCTGTTGTTGCCTGGCTTATTATTAAGCTCCTCTAAGCTAGTTGAGCTTGCTTCCATTTCTACCAGTGGAAACAGACTATAGCCATAGCAAAACTATTTGGATCTTTCCCCTGAAGGTCCATTCAAAATATATGCACTAGAGGGCATAAAGAGAGCATGGCTAATGAAGGAATGGCTGGTTCCAGCAAATGATGCTATGGCCTATAATGAGTTTAACACCTGGCGGATAATGCAAATGACACTGAAAATTAGCTCATTTTTGGCTTCCCCGTGCCCTGGTCAATTGAACAAAACTTACATTGAAAATAAGCCCAGTTTGGAGTTTTGTTTTGTTTTGTTTGTTTTTCCTATACACACGTGTTTTGAATCTGAGCTATGGCTCAGTGCTGTACACTTACTAGTTCCTCTGCTCTTGCTATACCAAAAGACATGAGTTTTATGGGCTCTAGGGGAGGTTTGATTTTCAGTCCTACCTCTGGTATACAGGCAGTTTTGCCCTCCGCAGGCAGTTTTGCCCTCATTCTCTTTATTTGCAGGGTGGTTATATCATCCAAACATAAATTAATTTTTCCTGGTACTTTTTCACCTTTTGAAAATGGGAATGATCCATATGGCTAAAGAATGTCAGGAAGAGAAACATTTGGGAAGAATTAAATGGGATGCAATCATTCCGGATCTTGATCATCTTAGCCAACAAGAGCCAAGTAAAAAAAAACAGCCACAGAGTGTTATGTGCCAAAATTTTCGAATTCCAGAGAGTTTATACTATATAGGTGATTTTAAACTGACATGATTATATAGTTCCAAAAATAATTGTGTTGAGATGGTTGAAATGTAGGAAGAGAATAAGGGTATGAGGTTTATATTTTATATGATAATTTGTTTAAAATATTTTATATATACCTTGGAGATATTTCAAATCTTTTTGTGGCATATTCTTAAAATTTAAAATGAGTTGAAATAATGTGGATGCTTCCTAAATTACAGATTATACCACTAAAAATGATACTGAATATCAAAACATACAATAATTTGAGGAGTTCTGATTGACAAAAGCTGTTTACCTTAAATTCCTTCAAACAACAAAACTGTAGTCTATAAGGGGTTAGAGTCTGTGAGAACACAAAAAGATTTATCTAAAGGAGAAACATAAGCACAAGAATACTCAGTATTGGTCTTTGCAATGCAGCAAATGATTTATAGTGAGATGAGACCTAGTCCAGAGATTGAGTTCGTTTAGGAATGCAATGGCCATAAGACTAAGAAGTAGACAATTTGTTTAAAAGACAACAAATCACATGAAAGTTGATGCATTGTCATGTTCCTATGTGTAGTGACGTTATCAGGCATTTACAGATTGCGAGTTTTCTGATTTTACTAACAGAGCTAAGTCTTTAACAATCTTAGTAAGAAGAGAAGAGCCTTTTTCCAGCTATCACAGGCCAGTTCGAAAACACAGAATGGGCATTAAGGAGAATAGATTTGAAGCAGCAAGTAAGCAACCAACATGCTTGCTAATGATATCAAAGCCCAGCTCAGCCTGTCATTCACAATCTACTTACTGCCTATTGCTAAAAAGCCTTTATGCTAGAGTTAGATGACTGTTTAACTGGCATTAAATTAGGACATCCAAAATGAACACTGAGATCCAGCCAACAATCACCATCATAGACCA
Source organism: Homo sapiens (assembly GCF_000001405.40). Lineage (NCBI taxonomy): Eukaryota > Metazoa > Chordata > Mammalia > Primates > Hominidae > Homo > Homo sapiens. The sequence continues at coordinate 19,850 of NW_013171804.1, read as the reverse complement.
GTCATGTCTTAGCTCACCTCTCTTGGAGTCTGTATTTCTAAAACCATATTCAAAATGTGTCTATACTAAAGGAGAATAGGCATTTGAGAGGGTAGAACACAAGTAGGCATATTTTAATAGTTGGGGCCAGCAGAGGGAGGCTTTGGGTAACAAAAGGACAGGCTCAGATGCAACAGCCAGACTGCCTAGAGTATTCAGAGCGTTAGGGATTTAGATTCAGCTGTTCATGTCTTAGTTGCTCATAGAACAATAGAGGAAAAACTGAAGGAACCAGAATCCAGAACCACACTGTCTTACTAGGGTGAGGCAGTTACTTTCAAGTAAGGCCAGCTGAAAGTACTGGGACAAAGTCCAGTAGAATGTTATATAAAATAAACCTTTCAATAATAGTTAATGGTCAGGGGATCCAAACAGAGTTACCTAACGTATTCTGAAAGGGGCGATGATCCAGTGGTGTGTTTGTTGATAAGTCAGCTCTCCAGGCATTAAAAGCATTTCATGATTTCTTTGGGTTAAATACTTCTACGGTGATTAATTTCCAGCAGTAGTCCCACTCACAAAATTCTTGAACATTTAACAACAGGCTATTGCAAGCCAGTAAGAGCTTGGTCCAACATACCACTGAAAGTAAAATCTAAGGAGGGAGATAGCACAAGGAAGCGTTGGTACATTGTGGTGACCCTTACTTGATGGGTGCAATGAGCAGGGCTCCAATCTCCTGGAAAGAGCTGGTCAAGCAAGAACAACTTCCTCAATTCCTAGAGGGATTAGGATATTAAGCAAATTTCTAAGACACAAATTTGGGTGCAAAGAAGTAGGCGGAAGCCCAGTAACCAGATTGAGGCCAAAAAGTAAGTTGTTAAGACTGGAAAAAAGAAATCTAGTTACATATAAAATATCAAGTAATATAAATTAGACATCATAAAGGGCCTTATTGTTGGTGTGGAGAATTCTATTTGTATAGGTTTATCTAAACTATAAATTCTCTACCATTATAGGCACATAATTAATTATAAAAGAAACAGGCATAACTTCTAAAAATGGCAAAAGTAAGTTTATATAATAGAATAATCAATTTTTTCACTAATAGTGGTGTATCCGTCTGTTGAATTTTGATTCTGCAAATTGTTCTTTAGTATGGGCTGCCTAATGACTTGATCATTACTTAGCTTTCTTTTAATTCTTTTCATTATGTTAATTTGTACGTTGCATTTCTTAATATACTTCAGTGCCTCATTAATATTAAGATCTACAAGTGTGATTTTTCTGAAAAATCTTGGGTAAATAGTTTTTTATATTGAATATTTTGTTTCTCTCTTTACCTTACCATTTCTCTGGAGATAAATATCCTATCTTCTAGATAATATATGGTATAAGGTATTATGAATCAGGCTATGTTAAAAATTCTTGTAAAACAGGGAAAAAATCTTTTGTTACGATGATTAGAGTGATTTGATTAGAGTTTCAGAATGCTGTAATATAAGGGCTTGAACTCCCAACACCCCCCCACCCCCGACACCAACCCCCCAAACACACACACACACACAGGGAGCTAGTGGTAGTAATCAGTTATTGCATATTGGAAGCCAGGTGGGCAGAAACTAGATAGGTGCTTATTGCATGAGAACAATTCTGAAAGAAATAGGAAGAATCAAAGAAGAAAAATATGTGCCTAGTTTCTACTTTATTTAGGATGGCATGAGCTGGAAACTTGCATGGAAAAGTAGATGTTAGAAATCAGAGAGTTAAAAGTCAAAAGAGCGGGTTAGTAGGCTCCAAAAGTTGATTTGTAAGTCACTCATTTAGAACTCTGGATGTATTTTTCCTAGAGCAGCAATGTAGCTCACAATGGTAGTCCAAAAAACCTCTCAAAGTCCTAACCTAGCTGAAATTAAATGAAGAACCTCTGAGCCCTGAGTTCCACCAACTTCTCTTAAAACTCTGATTTTTGAACCCGATCCAGAGCTTTAAGTATTGAACCTAAAGAAGCCTGTGGTGCCATTTATCTAGAGGTGCCTGAAGGAAATGAGGCAGAAGGTGTTTACCTGAAGCAAGCTTCCTGATTGTGCAAAACTGAGCTATGTTGGGGTCCTAAATCCTAGGGCTATTTCTGTAACCTACTAGTTATGTAAACTTGTACAGGTAACTCAATCTGTCAGAGTCTTGGTTCCCTGATCCATACAAGACGAAAAGTAATATTTAATTCACAAATGCACAGATAGCTCAAAGGCTCCTGCTAAACCTTCCCCAGGCTCCAAGGGGATCTTAAGTGTAAACATGTAGGGAAATTTTCTTGTTTATTGCTGCAACCCCAGGACCTAGAACAGTACTTCATATATAAATTCGTTTCTGTTGATTATGTTAAATAAATGGATGCATGAATCAAAAGTGCTTCATTAGTAACCGGTGCCTTTTTTAATTAATTCCCCTACCTTTCTCCACAATAAACAGAAATTTGAGAGAGTATTAGCAAAGGGTATGTCCTCTTATAGTGGAAGGCAGGATAATCATGGCTGTTCGATGGATGGGTCATTTGCTGGCTGTGCGTGCTTTGCTGTAGCTGTTTGTATGGTTAAGGTATGACTCAGGTGCAATACTGACATCTCCCTGCTACCTCTCCATTGTGAGTATACTCTGGCCAAAATCCACCTGGTTATTTCTTGTGGTTTGTTTTTTGTGAATCCATCACCTTTATTGTTATAGAGGGTCTCTTCAGGTTAAGCTTTCTTCATAATACACCCATATTAAATTGTTCTATGTGATATTTCTGCTTGGCGAGGTTTAATTTGGTGGAATGAGAGCTGCCTGTTTGTTAGCAGTCAGATGTGCATAATAGCCATCTAAGGTAGAATTCATCAATTATGCTGAAATGTTTGTTTTTAAAATGTCAGGTGTCCAGATGGTGCCATGGCAATGGGGGTCATTAAAAATGCTTAGACACAGAGAGTCTTAATAAATAAATGTTCTTGTTAGTGATGCAGATCCTTAGCAGAGGCCAAGTTTTTTAAAAAGGTTAATAGGTTAAAGTTTCTTAAAGTGAAGTTTTAACAAGCACCTCAAGATGAACCACAATATTACTCTGCTTTTATCTGTTTTGTCATTTCCATTTCTGTCTTCTCTCTTTACTCTTACCTGCCCATCTTCATCCAGGAATTCTCCCCTATTGCACATTGAAAGAGCTTTGCAAAAGAGAGATTTTATGTTAATAAAGTCAGAGGATGGTGCTGTTGCTATTTGGAGATTACCTAATTAAAGACCTTTATGGGTACTTGGATGGTAGCAGGACTGCCGTTCTAAAAGGATGTGCATCTGGGGTGATTCAGAACGCAGCTCCACATGCAGCGCCAATGGTGGAATTTAAAGCAATCAATGAAATTATCTATACTTTCAACTTTGTTAGACACATCTCTTGTGCAAAACCATTATTACAGATGCTGAAGCTACACACAGAGCCTCCAGTTACCCATAAAAGCAGCATTTGGACAGAGTGTAAATTTGCCACCAGGACTCTGGCATATGGAAACTAATATGTCTGATCAGGAAATGAAACTCATTGGAATATTTACACTGCTTCTCAGATACTTTGACCCTAGTTTAGCCAGGCTTTTAGAAAATTGTTGAGAGGATTTATTTTTCTTTATCTGTCAACACCCCATCCCCCTGTTCCACAAAGCTCAATCTACAGACTGCGGTCATCAAAATAGAAATCTACATTTCTGAAAATTAAGATTGTTTTGAGCATATTTTTCTTGTTTCTGTAGAATCCACCAGGCCTGGCTCTGGTGGAAAAACAAAGTAGCAATATCAGTTACAAAGGACTATCGAAATATTCCCAGCCATGTTAACACATCTGTAGAGGAAATAATACTGATTATTTATTTTTAAAAGCATACCTCGGAGATATTAAAGGTTCAGTTCCAGACCACCGCAATAAAGCAATATCACAAAAGAGCAAGTCACATGAATTTTTTGGTTCCTAGAGCATATAAAAGTTCTGTTCACAGTCTATTGTAGTCTATTAAGTGTTTGATAGCATTGTCTTAAAAAACAATGTACATATCTTAATTAAAAATAGTTTATTGCTAAAATATGCTAACAATCATCTGAGCCTTCAGCAAGTCATAATCTTTTTGCTAGTGCAGGGTTGTTCCTCCATGCTTATGACTGCTGACTGATCAGGCTGGGGGTTGTGGAAGGTTGGGGTGGCTGTTGCGGTTTTTTAAAACAAGACAACGGTGAAGTTTGCTTCATCAATTGCACATCAATTTACTTTTCCTTTCATGAAAGATTTCTCTGTTGTGTGTGATGGTGTTTGATAGCATTATACCCATGGTAGAATATCTTTCAAAACTAGAGTCAATCTGCTTAAATCCTGCCACTGCTTTACCAACTAACTTGTGTAATATTATAAATCCTTTCTTTCATTTCAACAATGTTCACAGCATCTTTCCCAGGAGTAGATTCCGTCTCATGCAATCATTTTCTTGGCTCATGCATAAAATGCAACTGCTCATCCATTAAACTTTATCATGGGACTGTAGCAATTCAGTCACATCTTCAGGCTCCACTTCTAATTCTAGTTCTCTTGCTGTTTTCACCACATCTGCAGTTACTTCCTCCACTGAAGTCTTGAACCTCTCAAAGTCATCTGTGAGGATTGGAATCAACTTCTTCCAAATTCCATTAACTTTCAAACTATTAATGTTGATATTTTGGCCTTAACCCATGAATCCCAAATGTTCTTAATGGCATGTAGACTAGTGAATACTTTCCAGAAGGTTTTAGATTTACTTTGCTCAGATCCATCAGAGGAATCACTATCCATAGCAGCTCTAGCCTTATAAAATGTGTTTATTAAATAATAAGACTTAAGTGTTGATATTACTTCTTGATCCATAGGCTAGAAAATGAATGTTGTATTAGCAGGCATGAAAACAGTGTTAATCTCCTTACATATTTCCATCAGAGCTCTTGGGTAACTAGGTGCTTGTCAATGAGCAGCAATGTTTTTACAGAAATTTTTCTTTTCTAAGCAGTAGGTCTCAACAATGGGCTTAAAATATTCACGGTAAGTCATGCTGCTAAACAGATGTGCTCTCATCCAGGCTTTGTTGTTCTATTCATAGAACACAGGCAGGGTAGATTTAGCATAATTCTTAAGGGCCCTGAGATTTTTGGAATGGTAAATGAGTATTGTCTTCCACTAAAAGTCACCACCTGCATTAGTCCTTAACAAGATAACCAGCCTATCCTTTGAAGAACTGAAGCCAGGCATTGACTTCTCTCTAGCTTTGAAAGCCCTAGATGTATCTTCTTCCAATAGAAGCCTGTTTGTCTGCATTGAATCTGTTGTGTAATGTAGCCACCTTCATCAATTATTTTAGCTAAATCTTCCAGCTAACATGCTGCAGCTTGTACATCAGCACTTGCTGCTTTACCTTGCACTATTATGTTATGGAGACAGCTTTTTTTTTAAAACTCATGAACCAACTTCTGCTAGATTCCAACTTTTCTTCTGCAGCTTCCTTGCCTCTCTCAGACTTCATAGAATTAAAGAGAGTTAGGGCTGTGGTCTGGATTAGTATTGAGGAAATGTGGCTGGTTTGATCTTCTATCCAGACTATTGAAGCTTTCTCCATATCAGCAATAAGGCTGTTTCACTTTCTTATCATTTGTGTATTCACTGGAGTAGACTTTTAATTTCCTTCAAGAATTTTTCCTTTGCATTCACAGTTTGACTAGCTTTTTGGCACAAGAGGCCTAGATTTCAGCTATCTGGGTGTTTCACATTCCTTCCTCATCAAGCCTAATCATTTCTAGCTTTTGACTTAAAGTGAAAGATGTGTGACTCTTCCTTTCACTTGAACACTTTGAGGCCATTATAGGTTATTAATGGGCATAATTTCAATATTGTTGTGTTTCAGCGAACAGGGAGGTGCAAGAAGAGGCAGAGAGATGGGAGAATGGCCGGTTGGTGGAGCATTCAGAACGCACACTCACATTTGTCAGTTAAACTCACTGTCTCTTATGAACTTGGTTTGTGGTGCCCCACAACAACTAGATAACAAGAGTAACATCAGAGATCAGTGATCGCAGACTATAACAGATATGCTAATAATGAAAGAGTTTGAAATATTGTGAAAATTACCTAAATGTGACACAGAGACATGAAGTGAACACATACTTTTGAGAAAATGGTGTCGATAGACTTGCTTGATGAAGGACTGCCACAAACCTTCAATTTGTAAAAGACACAATATTTGTGAAGCAGAAAAAACAAAGCACCATAATACAAGGTGTGCCTGTATATCTGACTTTTATTTATAATAATGAAAAGTTAAAAGATAGCTTAAATGTTCAAATAGAAAAAATATTTGCTAGTCACAGTTTGTCCAAATGATAGAATATTATGCTGCCATTGAGCTTTTTCACAAATAAAGAAACAAGGAAAGAAATGAGACTCTAGTGCAGGAAACTGAGGAAGAATTCTTTTAGATTGTTTAAACCTATTTTTAGTCAGGTTCATTGAGGTGTAAGTTACATACATAAAATATATTCTTTTTAGCATGTAATTCTGTGTATTGACAAACACATAGAATCATAAAACCAATATCACAATCAAGATATAGAAAAATTCCATCACCCTCTGCTATGGTCCAAATGTTATATCCCCCAAAATTCATATATTGAAATCTAACCCCAAAAGTATTAAGTAAAAGTATTAAGAGGTAGGGCCTTGGGGAGGTGATTAGGCCATGAGGCTCAGCCTGTTTGGCTAAAGGAATTACTGTCCTTATAAAAGAGGCTTGAAGGAGCTTGTTTACCCCTTCTGCCATGTGAGGACATAGCCAGAAGGTGCTGTCTGAGAGGAACAGGCCCTCACCAGACACTGAATCTGCTGGTGCCTTGGTCTTGGACTTCCCATCCTTACTGTGAGCAATAAATTTCTGTTTATAAACTACCCAGTCTGAGATATTTTGCTATAGTAGCCCAAATGGGGTAAGGCACCCCACAGATCCCTTCATTCCTCTTTGCAGTCAATGCCTTTCTCCACCTCTATCATTAGGCAACAACTGCTCTGTTTGCTGCCCCTACGTTTTTCTTTTTCCAGAACATCATATAAATGTAATCATCCATTACGTAACCCTTGACTCTGGCTGCTTTCATTTAGTGTATTGCATTTGACATCCTACCATGTTGTTGTGTGTATCAGTAGTTCATTTTTGTTTTTATTTTTTAACTGAAAAGCATTCCAGGTATGGATGTACCACAATTCACTTATCCATTCACCAGTTGAAGGAATTTTGGATTGTTTACAGTTTGGAGTGATTATGAATTAAAGTTGCTGTAGTCATTTGAATATAGGTTTTTGTGAGAACCTAAGTTTTCTTCTTTCCTGGGTAAATACCTTGGAGTTTTGGGAGTGGCATTTTTAAGTTGCATATAAAGTGTATGTTTACCTTTATAAGAAACTGCCAAACTGTTTTTCAAAATAGCATTCCTATTTTGAATTAATATCAGCAATATTTTATGGTTCAGTCATTCCATTATGACAACTGTAACTCCTTATGATCATTTATTAATTGCTACAGATATATTGTACTAGAAGTACGTTTACTAAAAGGAAGAGACTTTGCTCTTTGAACTTTTTCTGTAATGTCACATTGTGTCAGTTTGCCCCTCAGCTCATGGAAATAGACTTTTATACTTCATAACATGGTAAAATATAAACTAGTATTGTGTATCCTAAATAGAATTTTTAGGAACCAGTATATAACACTGTGAAACCTGAAACTTCTGTGAATGAGCTCTGCTCTGATTCTCTGGTAGGAAAGCAGAAGCCAGTGGCACTCTCTATGATAGGGGAACCCGATTTCAACTCTCTGTATGAATGTTCTGGACATTAATTGATATGGAAATGGTCTCTTGAATAATGCTTATTCAAGAGGGTGTAGAGAGAGTTGTCAAATCCTAAAGTTCTGTAAGAGCCCCATACACCTTCATGTGTCAAACTGTAAAATAGTGACCCACTGTGGAAATTTTCAAACACCTCCATAAGAAGAGAGAATAATGAAAGTCAGCATCCCAGCAGCGAGTTTCAATGTTATCAATATATTGCAATATTATATTCTTAATATCAACTTGGAGGATGAGGAAAATGTGATTCTTTTACAGTATATTTCAGACATCATATCACTTTACTTGTGAATAGGTCAATGTGTATTTCTAACAGATAAGGATTTTTAAACATAGCATAATGCCATTATCACAACCAATAAAGTAATTATTTAATGTTACCTAATTCCTAGTACAGGTCCAAATTTCACTGTCTAAAATATTGCATTTGGTTGTTATATCTATTAAGTTTCTCCTCCTTTTAAAAAAATGCCAGTTATATATCTAATAAATTTATAAATTTTCATGTAGAGCTTCTCTCATTCCATTCTTCTGGTCTTGAACAGGTTTTTCTACCCCCATGTCTCCTATGTTTCCTTTACTTGCTCATATGTCTTTTACTTGCTTCAACTATGGAAGGAGGGCAGATTTGGGGAGATTTGAAAATTACACCAATCACTGCCATTTTTCCCCAAATGTTGCAGAATATCTGCAAAGTTCCCTTTAGCTTAATTTTGAGCAGTAGGATATAAGTAGAACAACTAAGAGTATTTTTAGTTGCATATAAGATGAAATCCAAATTCTTTAGCATGATCCTCCACAGTTCAGCACAGGCTTGTGCTACCTTTCCAAATTTATCTCCCAATATTACCCAACATAAATTCTTCACTCTTCTTTATTCATGCTTTTTCCCTTGCCTTCCCTCACTGTGTCACTCATTACAAAAACAAACAACACCCCCCCTCCAACCGTAATTGTAATTGTCTTAATTTCTGCTCACCATCTTATCTATCCTGATCTTCCATTCTTGGCAAAATCCTTTCCCACTGCCCTTTTCTTCTCCCTCTAAGCTTTCTAGCCACTTAATTATTTCATATTCTCAAATTTATTGCTCTTTGTTTCCCTCTTTTATTTGAATAATTGTCCTATTGATCTCAGTAACCTGTTAGAGTAAAAATTCATTTGATTAAAGAAACCAAATAAAAGAAACCTGTTTTCATTGACATGTACTGCTTACTAAGCATTGTGCTAGGCATTGTTGAAGGAACTATCTACAAACAGACCTGGCAATTGTCATTAAAGAACTAACTAAATCACATCATAGTATGAGAAGCTGACCATGTCATTCCTTTCAAGTGCATCCCTATTTGGTAGAATTTCAGTACGAATGCAAAGTCAAATTAAGCAAGTTATTTAAAGCAATAAGTGAGTTGGTTGAGGGAGGGAGACTGAGACAGAAAGAGGGGAAGATGTTTCTAGAACAGAGATCCTTAAGTTCATTGAACTCCCTCTCCATCTAGTTCTACTCAGCATCTTTCTGAATCTTATGTATTCTTCAAAGTGTTGCTTAAATCCTACATTGTGGGTAAAAGTTTCCTGAATCCTTCCACATGTACCAATTCAGTGCTTGTTCACAAAATTATTGGGATGCAACGATGACTCCCTCCTCTAAATGTCTTGAACACTTATCAAATATTACATTTATTTCAAATGAAATTTTTATTGTCATTTGCTCATGTTTACATTGTGTCCCTCCTGCTAGGTTTTATAAATGAGCTGTTGTATAACTCTTCGGGTCCCCCAGTGTGTAATAACAGGTGCTTAATAAACATTTCATAAAGAAAGAAAAATTTCTTTGCTGAAAAGTCTGAGAAACTCTTCCTTCATCAGGACTTGCATGAATAAAGCAAAGCAATAGAATTAGTAGACTGTGTTGAACAGAACTGAACTCAAAAATTCTAAGATACATAAGATTTTCTTCCATTTAAGCTCAGGAAAAATATAATTATCTTAGTTGATTTTCCCTGAAAATTTTAGGAAAATTTTGATCCAAATATATCATTGCATTCTATTAGTCATTTGATCATATGGCTCATATTGCTCAGACTATACATACATTATAGACAGACAAAGAAGTAGAAACAAACAAATTTTCAACAGAATTGTTAATGGGAAAAACGCTACACAAAGTAGGGAGAGCACAAGACATTGGTGTCCATTTTGTGATAATAGTAGCTATAGTTTGCTGTATACATCCTTATAAGCCAAAATTTTCACATATTTTAATCCTTTAAATTTCCAAAACAACAGTAAGAGATAGATACTGTTATTAAACTCATTCTACAAATGAGGAAATAGTTAAGCAACCTGTCCTGGGGCTCACAGCTTGTAAACAGAGGACAATGGTTCTAACCTTAGAGCCAGGTTCTCTGGGCCAAGGGAATGGCCCCTACTCCATACCTATGAGACTTTAAATAAGTCCCTATCTGTGCATAAAACATATGACATAAAACATAATTATTCTTCCTCTGATTGATTTCTGAGATAAGATTATGTAACACTATTTGATCAACTGTAGCCATCTTTGGTAGTTAGTCAAGAGAATTCCAACGGCTCAGGAAGACAAAACTGTATGTCCTGTCTTCTGTAATCTTATAGAGTGTGTTGTAATTTGAAAGCAAATTGCAAACCAAAATCAGCCTCACCAACAAATATTTATAGGAATGCTGGCATGGAAACAGCCATATTACCTCCAAGCTTGATGAGGTCTTCAGTTTCTGTCCCTTTAGTCCCTCTAACTGCTCCTTGCACTTAAGTTTCACTTAAGGCGTGGCATAATTTATCTCTAGTCAGAACCAGCTAACAAAATCCTCTGATAAATATTTAAGCAAAGGACTGGTAGAAAATCCTAAATCCAGTGCAATATTTTGAAAGGTGTAGGCTCTTGAGATCACTAGATTTTTGAGCACAGTTTGTTCAAGACTCAAAGTAGCCGTATATTATTTTATAGTAATCGATGTATCTTGAACCCTATCTCACCATAAAAATTCATGCCTAATATTCGTTGTGCTAAATAACCAAACCTCTAGTATTAATGAGAAGTAAAATAGAATAGCCGAAGGTCTTACAGTGACATTCTCTCTAGAGTGAGAGCCTCTGAGCAACCATCCTGCTGGGAATAGTCCCAATTAGAGTACTTCAAACGTTAGCTAACCCCCATTCCTTGCCTCCAGTCTGCACACCAGGGTACAAATTAACTTTTAACAAAGGTTGATCACACTCTTTATTTTAGTAGTATAATGTAAGTTATCAGCAAGATTTCAAGAATGGAGAAACCAGTGTGAAAAAGTCTTTCCTTAGAAAGAAGGGTGTCAATTTGGGGTGTCACTCTTACAGTTTGATATGTTTACACTTGACATTTTAGAATATTTCTTTCCTTCTATAGCCATTCAGGGTTAAATAGTTATTTCCACCAGCAAATTTGTCTGTCATAATAGTATCATCAGACATCAGAGTCCTTGTTTGGGCCGCCAAACAGGAGACTATTAAAGGAAGGTAAATGTGGAATATAGGATAATTTGGGCTATAAATTCACCATCCTTCTCACTCTCAAACTCTTTCCAGAACATTCTTTCTTCATTTTTTTCATTCTGAACACCACAATTCTATATTACTATGGCAAATGTCTCTTATAAAAATAACTTTAAAATTTAGTGTTTAGTCCTAGCTAATTGCCATTTCTTTAGAAGTATTCTAACAAATTAGGCATTGAGGGACATATTTAATTTAGCATTTCTCTGAATTAAGACATATAGGCAGATTTCCAAATCTTAATTATGAACTAGCAAATGTATAATTAGCTATTTAAAAATACTATTGATCTGATGGACAGGGCAAACTTACCTTCTAATTAAAATTACCCTAAGAGGCAAATTGCACAGAACTAATGTGTTACTCAAAGCCTTTCAATTAGAAAAAAATTAAGGAAAATAGTTTTCCTGATCCATTTTGTGGCAAATCTAAGCCTCTATTTACCTGTGTTTTTCATCTTACTCCCACACAAATGAACTAGGAATATGTAGATACACAAGTCCTTCATACAGGACTGAGGGTATCTGGTGCTAAACAAGTCCTCAATAAACATTAATAGATTAGAGTTAACGGAAATTAAATAAGGCAAGGGATTTATTCATAAAAATATTTACTGAGCACCTTGTAGGGGGTGAAAAGAAAGTCTTACCCATTACAAGGGTCACAGCTGACACTCCTATAACAAAAGATAGGTTAACAAGAGAAAAGCACAACAAATTTATTTAATCCTAGTTTTATGTGACATGGGAGCTTTCAGGATGAAGATCAAATGACCCAGGGAAAACTATCAACCAACTTTTTTTTTTTTTTTTTTTGAGACAGAGTGTCACTCTGTCACCCAGGCTGGAGTGCAATGGCGCCATCTCAGCTCACTGCAGCCTCCACCTCCCGTGTTCAAGTGATTCTCCTGCCTCAGCCTCCCGAGTAGCTGGGACTACAGGCATGCACCAACATGCCTGGCTAATTTTTTTTTTTATTTTTGGTAGAGATGAGGTTTCACCATGTTGGCCAGGCTGGTCGCAAACTCCTAGCCTCAAGTGGTCCTCCCGCCTTGACCTCCCAAAGTGTTGGGACTACAGACATGAGCCACTGTGCCTGGCCTATCAATCCGTTTTTATGCTTAGGTTCAATGAAGTATAGGCAGCCATGTAGCAATGTGCTTGGACCAAAAGAGTATAATCTTACGGCAGTAGACTGACTTAGGAAACCCAGAAAGGCTTCTCTGTTCAGATTCTTCCTGGCCTTTCTCTGAAGCATTCCTTCCTCCTGGGTATGGGGCAGCCTCTCTCCAGAATGGGGGTCTTATGACTACTATCAAACAAGGTACATCAATTTCTTTATGGCCATCTCCTACACAGAAAGGCAGGGGAAGGCGAGAATAATATTTTTAGTTTTTTTGGCTGGCTTTGGGGAAAAGGAGTTCTAGTTTCTATGACTCACCTGAGGGAAGAGGTATTCTTGTTTCTGTGACTTGCCATGGGGCAGAATGAGGGGCCAGGGACAGGAGGGCAGGGGAGGGTCAGAGAGAAAGAGCTTCTGAGGCCACTTCTGAGGCTTTCACTTTGGTATTTTGTTTTCTGAGCCCCAACAACCTACTATGTGCTACCTACACAGTTGATAAGTTCAGTCCCTGCTCTCTGTGAATTACATGTTCGGTACAAGCAGATGCACATATTCTGTAAACCTATGAACTTTTTCACCAAATGGATTATATCTCACCATATTCCACGTAACTGATGCAGAATCATTTAACAATGGCTATTTCTAAGTGGGACCCTTGCTCCTTTAGTGTGTTGCAATCTCTCTTCTTTCAGTAGATCTTTAAGTCCAGAGGCCAGTTGAATGTGGACACAGATTTTCCATGTAAACTTGTACTCTTAGTGTGCATGGAAGTACTTGGAGATATTAAAGTTTTGTGGCACTGTTAAGTTTGCTTAACAAATACCTTCTTCACAAATAATGGGAAAAGACAAGTCCAAATGTATCCATGTTATCCCAAATTCTGATTAAATGAGGTCTAGATTATTATGGTTTTATGATAGTTCATTTTCAAATAAGTTTCTTTATAGCCCTTATAAAGAGAACTGTCTGAGTAAATATTGTAATTTAAAATGTAGACGTAAACTTATATGGGCAATTTTATTTCATTTTAAGATTAAATCATGATTTCTTTTTAATTTCCTTAATGTTTCTTTTTGCAAAGCTTCACGGTTTCTGGCACTGTGCCTCTTAATTCTTAGGAGCACGTTATCTATCTTTTGAGCATAAAACAAATAAAGACATAAGTAAGAATCGCTTATAATTTTTTTAAAGAGTGAACTTTCTATATCTTAAATATTGGTCATGCCTTTCCAAACCCTTTAAAATCAGGGTGGGATTTAGTCACATAATTTTACAGATGAAAAAACCGAGATTCAGTGACTGTCATTGGATGAATGTATAAGGAAAATGTGGTATATATACACAATGGAATATTATTCAGCCATAGGAGGAATTAAATCTTGTCATTTCCAGGAACATTGACGGAACTGGAGGTCATTATAGTAAGTGAAATAAACCAGGCACAGTAAAACAAATATCACATATTCTCACTCATATGTGGGAGCTAAAATAGATTTCATAGAGATAGAGAATAGATTGGTGATTACTAGAGGCTGAGAAGCAAAAGCGGAAGGAGGAATGAAGAGAAATTGGTTAAGGGGTATGAAAATACAGTTAGAGGGGATCAGTTCTAGTATTCAATAGTAGAGTAGGGAAGTTATAGTTAAAGTAGTGTGTTGTATATTTCAAAACAAGTAGAAGAGAATTGCAATGATTCCAACATAAAGAAAAGATAAATGTTTGAGGTGATGAATATCCCTACCCTGATTTGATCATTACACATTGTGTACAGGTATCAAAATATCACATGTGCCCCCCAAAAATATATACAACTATCATATAGCAATAATAAAAAAACTGAGACATAGGTAGTTGAAATCCTGAGTGTGACTCAAAACAACTACTAATATTAATTATGAAATTCATCGGAATATTATTAAAAGAACTTATGTAAACATTTGTATAGTAAAGAATAAACTGAATCTAGCTTTCCCAATTCTGAATGCGTCAATTTACATTCATTCATGCCAATTTTCTTCTGAATGATATCTCTAAGGACTGACATTACTTCTCTGGAACAATTCTGTGTAGAAGAAAAGATTGGTGTCTCCTTGTTTTCAAGAGAAAAGCACATTAAATTTCCAACTAACACCACAACACAGACAAATGAAAACAAACTTCGTGTAATGAAAGAGACACAGGAGCAAAATTTAATTCTTCCCATAAAACAATGTGTTGAAGGAGAGCCTAAAAAAATCGTAATGTTAATGAAAATGGAGGGATTACACTGTTAAATCATTTCTATGTAAATTAATAGAAGAGATTTCTTTTTGGAAATAAAGCCCATCAACAGAGGAACTGCTAAAACCTGTTTTTATCTCCAGTAACATAAAATTTCAGGTCACATCAACAAATAAAGTTATTAAATCAAGCATTTTATTATCTGACCCTAAATAATGAACACTAATCAAAGATACCATCCATAGCTTTGATTATTAAAGCCAGGATTTCTTACGGTTTTTCTTAAAGAAAAATAGCCCTAATAGATGTCACTGCAACAATTGATGGGAGTTAAAGAAACAGATTAATTGGACTCCATATTTCTTTATTTAAACATCTTAAATACAATTATGCATGGCCAACGGTAAGTTAATCATTTTATTTAGATATTAAATGACCTGAAATTGGGTTTTTTATGCCTTTACTCAGCCACCAATAGTCACACTTTCTTCAGTCCAAGAGGAGGGTGTGGGTACTATCTTTGATTTTTATTTTATAATATGAACTACAACTACCTCCTTGAAATGCCTTCCTATCTTAGCTGTCATATACCTGTACTATTCTTGGGAAGCATCTACATTTCTAATCTCTCTCTCTCTCCCCAACTTCCTCCTTACATCTCCCCCGGCCTCTCTCTCCCTTTTGCTTTCACTCCACTTCCCTCATATTTCTACCATTATTGCTCCATCTTCAGCTACCTGTTCCTCTCCACAGTACTCTTTACAAGGGTCATTCAGCCTTATAGCTTTAACTATTGCCTTCAAACTGAGGATTCCCAAATTAGACCTTCAGTCCTGATTTACCTGTCTTTCCTTTATATTAGACATTTCCAACTAAATATATTTATCACAGCCATTTAAATTTTGTTTATCTTCTTCCTTTCAACTTCTCTCTGTTGCACAATTTCAACTTCATTCAACTTCATTCTTAAAGGCTGATGTGGTGCTACCCGTGTTAAATGACTTCCACATTCATTGTGTTATTGTATATATCACCCCAAATCTAAACCACTAGTCCACATAAGCACACACATACATAAAGACCCACAAACGCATTCACACATTAGCACTTAATATTTCACCTGGCACATATCATGTGATCAAAAATTTTGGTGATTGGGTAAAACACACATGAACACAGCACTTTTCTTTCTCTTCTCTCCAAATGATTACCACCACCTATTGTCTTTATGCCTGTTCTAAAACTGCAAAAAGGAATGAGGAAAGCTAAGATGGAGCTGCATTAGCATAGTAATCATTGTGTTAATGTACTGCAACGCATGCTCCTGCTGGAAATATTTGTGTTAAAAGATGCTGTTAAGAAAGCCGAAATCCTGAACCCTAATGAGGTTCATTCTCCACCCACCACACATACCCACCCACACACTCACACATACCTTTCACCCTGGCCAATCGTCTCACATCTGGTGAAACATGTCAGCAGAAACCTAATGCTACTAATGACAAATAAATATATAATAAATATCTTTCCTGTGATAGTCCTTTTAGTAAATGGGGAATACACTTCAAGCTTAGGTTATTTTGACAACATGCTACAGGTGGATGAATTCCAGTGATGTCTTAACCTTCTAAGAGACATGTGTTTATGGTTTATTTATTAGTGACCATCTTTGGGTTGCAAATAACAAATATAAACCAGGAAGCAAGCAATTCACAGGAAAAGAAATTTTAATATGTAATACACACATAAAAATATTCAGCCTCCTTAGTCCTCAGAGACAGACAATTGTTAAAGTAGTACATCACTTTCAAACACCAAATAATGATGACTGAAAAAAAACTTCAATAACTGCAAGAGTGGCTTGAGATGGGCACTCTCAAACTCTGCCAGTAGAAATAATTCGTTTGATATTAGCATGCAAAAACATTTAAAATGCTTACACATTTGTATCTGGCACTTCCCAATCTAGTTAATCAGGCTAAAAAGTGAGCATATATTTTTCAAAGTTTTTACAAAATTTGTGTTCTAAGATGTTCACCGCAATTATTTATGAGGGCTAAATATAGGAATGGTTCTAAGTATTAAAAATTGTCAAAACATAAGAAGGGATACTGTATAACTCTATATATTTATTTTAAATTAACAAAAGTAGATTTTTATGATAAACTGTTGAATGAAAAGTAAAGATACTAAACTATTTATGAGGTATATAAAATAAGAAAAAAATATGACATATATGCATATAATATATATATTTTAAAACACAAAAAATTATACAAAATGAAAACAACTGTTAACTCTTGATTTGTATTTTAGTGGTTCTGTTTTCTTCTCTACATTTTTAACCCTTCTGCAATGATTCTACATCACTTCCATAAATAAAAAATAATATCTATTTAGATTGGAAATGAAGTCAAAGTGTGGATATGAACCATCAAAAAACAATAATGTTTGGATTTCTTCTGGAGAGTTCATAGACAGTTGAGAAACAGATACCTGTAGCAAAATCAAAAACTGTTCTGCACCCAACTCATGCTATAAAATCTAGTTTAAGTGCAGAGCTTGCACTGAAGGTTGGTATTACTGCACACTAATCCATGCATAACTGAATTATCAAGGTCCTTCCAAGCTTTTTCCAACAGACTCAAAAAGTTAGTTTTATAATTTAAATCAACTACTGTAAAAAAGCTTTTATAGCTAATATTTGATGAACACAGTAGATTGAAAGAAATAATGGAAATGATAGAGCAAAAATGTATATTTTAGCTAATGGAAAAGAAGAAAAGTAATTTTGTTTTTCAGTGGATATTTTCATGAGAGTTTGCTTTAATTAGGTGTGCATGAACATAATCTTCTAACCAGTATTTTATTTAAAAGAGGCATTCAATAACTTCATTAACCTCAGGCTATAGGTGCACAATATATTGTGGAAAATAGGAAATTTAATCAAAGCATATATAACTTCTCATAGACGTTGGGTTCTGGAAACAGCAGGAAATGTATCCCAGCTTTACCACCTAACACCTGTAGAATCTTTTTTTTTTTTTTTGTAAAAGGCACACAAATTTTATTTACATGTCCAAGGAAGGAACCACTGAGTGACTATCCCTGCGTGTATAATCTTGAGCAAATTGCTCAACCATACTGTATTTAGAATTGTTGGAAGATTAAACTCTTTAAATAAGCCAGGTTTTCAGAATGAAGTAGGACCCACAGTAAATTCCACACGAATGTTACCTGTCATTGCTTTTAGCTATTACAACCTGTATTAATGGATCTATGTTGGTCGTGGTTATTCAATAATTTATTAAAGGTTAAGTATCAGAATGTGTTTTAAATAAGTTGTAGCTTCATTACAGTATATGAGACATAAAAATTTTTATATTGAATAAAGCATCCAATCATCTAGTTCTGCCACAAAATAGTATTTATCAACAACATTTATAAATGCATACATATGCCTAGTATATCCTTGGTATGTAAGATAGTTGTTCTCCTAAAAACTTCTGAAATTCTAAACAATATGTATTTCAAATCTAAATTTTTAAAGTAAATATGCTCATATTTACTGTTAGCATTTCTGATCGCACAAGAAATAAACTGTCTGTTGCGAGATGTTTTTCTTTCAGCCCATTGAACTAGATTCTAAAAATTGAGCTTGCAAGAAAGGTTAGAATTAAATGGATCAAAAGTAAATTTTCCTCCAACTTGATTCAATCATTTCCAAAGCCCAAATAAAATGGGTCCTGAGCAAATAAGATTGTAAACACAAAACCATCAAATGAGTGACTTAGTGTACTCCATGGTAGAAAAAGGAATCCATGTTAAAAGAATTAAAGAGATTTTATGTAATATATGATTCCCACATCCAAGCTTTGTAAAATAAATGCTTTTCAGAGGTACATTCTTATCATAGATAAATTTCCCAAGTGGCACCATAAATACTGGGCTACTACATAAAGGACCAAGACCAGGAAGAAAGAAAACAGTTAAACTCAAGGCTGCAGATGACTTCTGTGACAAGAGTGAGAGGTTAACTTGCCAACTGACTGAATCTATTTCTGGAATTAGCCTAATGTGCCTGAGAAGTCAGAAGAAAAATGGATTTTACCACTGCTTCCTTGCTTGTGCTTCTAGAAGTCGTCTCATCCCAAGGAATTTATTGTATGTTTCAGAACAGCTCATAATTTAGGTTTCAATTTCCATCAGTATGATGCTTTATAATTTTGTGTTAAGCTTCAAATAATTTAAATTTTTTTATATTGATATATGTGGAGAGGAAGCATAACTATCAAAATTGGAGGTTCTTGTTATTAAAGATTCATCGTACTTATTTATTTTTTAAAAAACAATTCATTTCTGTTCTTTACCTTTCCGCTTAGGGCACATTTTATGATCCAGGTTTCATTAAATGCCAGTAATTGTACTAAAAATTTATAAAATGTTTGAAAGTAGATTGATAAATTAAAATTTTAACTTTAATAAAAACTGTATTTAATACATTTAATATCTCACTCAATAAAAATTACATGTCTTTGTATTGTTTTTATGATGTCACTGCAATTAGGACTTAAAAAATAGGCTCTTCCAATATACACATGTAGTTTTTAAATGATGTTCTATATTAAGTAGAAAACACACATACTAAATATACGTTATAGTATAGAAATTGCCACTATTTAGAAATATATTTGCAGTGTAAGAAGTTCATTTGGAATTTTAAAATATTGGTCTTTTGATCTGAGTGTATGACTCAGATATAAAACTTACTAAAAATATGAATTAATTTCTTTGAACCTCTTTTTCACATGTAAAAAAGCAATGATAATACCTAGATTAGATAGTTATAGTAAAGATGAGATTAAGAAAGTATATAAAATTGGCTGGGCACTCATGCCTGTAATCCCAGTGCTTTGGGAGGTGGAGGTGGGAGGATCTTTAAGGCCAGGAGTTTGAGCTCAGCCTTGGCAACATAATGAGACCCTGTCTCTACAAAAAGTAAAAAAGAAAAAAAAATTAGC